>NC_000012.12:30749333-30902028 GCF_000001405.40 Homo sapiens
AACAAATGGGGACTTCTGAGCAGAGGAATAACCATCTTGACTTGCATCAGTACAGGATCACTGAGTTTACTACGTTGAACAGACTTGGAGAGGGCAGAAATAGAAAAACCTGTGAGGCAGAAGTAATTACTACTATAATAAGTAACGCAGATGAAAGGTTATATAGCCTAGATGAAGATGGCAGAAATGGTCAGTTTCCTCATTTATCTTAAAGGGAGAAGTGAGCAGACTTGCTGATGAGCTAGATGTGAGCTATGAGGAGAAAGGAGATAAATTCTCCAAGATTTTTGGCAACTCCTGCTAGTTGATCAAGCCATCAACTGACATAGCTAAGATTAGAGGAGGAGCAGGTTTTGGGGAACAGGGAAAAATTATGAAGTGTCGGATAGGCAACTGGACACAGAAATATTGAGTTCAGAGGACTGATCTGTTGGCAATATAAATTGGGCAGCTGTCAGAGTATTACTCCAGATATCAAAGTTCATACATTTATTATAGAAGCAACATGTGGCTATAAAGACAGTAATGAAATACTGAGAATGAAGTTTGCCTGGCTGGAGCAATGAAATATAGCATGTCTTTAACATTTCTTAGAGAGCTACCATGGGAACAATCAATCTCCAACCCCCTCTCCCCGATGTTTCTTAAAAATAAGGAACACAACTCTAACAGGACACTTCATTCAAGAATATTTACACACAAAAAAGTTTTATCACTTTAAGAGTTATTGAACACACCGTGATTTTAAAACAAAGCTATGCTGAAATGCTGCATGTCCAGCTAAGCCCTCTCCCCAGCTAAGTGAGCGCACCATTTGCAGAGCTCACACAATTCAAATATGTGTCTCAGCAAAATTATAACTTACTACATCACAAAAATTCTGGGTCAGTGAAGAGGAGTCACTATGGAATGGGAAAAGTCCTTGAATGTCAGTATCTATGATGTATAGCGAAAGATTTCAGTTGAAAAACATAAAGACAAAAGACCCACAAACAAGAGGAAATAATTTTCAAATAAATGTGTCCCTTCTTAGCCAGGAGACATGATCAAGTCAAAATGGCAAACATCCACGAAGCACTGTTTTCTTTCCGCGCTGCAAAAACTCTCCTTCACAAATTACATAAAATTTGCAATTACCAGGTATATCATTGAGAAGTTAACCGATGGAAAAAAATGCAAGTAGCTTAATGTTTATAGTAAGCTTTTTTTTTTTTTAAAGGCCAGATATCTATCAGATAATATGCCTCCTGAGAGGGCACACGAAAACCCAGGATAGAAAAGTAGGAAGAGACCATGAAAGGAATTAAGGTGAGGCAGCTAGAGAAAACTAAGGTAAGCTACAGTAAATATTCTTTCACATTCTGGAGCAGAAAGATGTCAGGTTTAGAATATACCAGTGAAGAGCTGAAAGGTAGAGTATGCCTTCTCTTCTCCTTCAGTCCACTCTGGCACATAAGTTTAACTTAAATCTGTATGTTAACTCGTAGTGACAGTCTACACTTTCACTCCTGTTAACAATCTACACCCCCATGCGTACCATCTTCTAGTCAACAGAACAAAAAGTCATATCTGAGATCTAACAGGCACAAACAACAAAGTCTTCTGAAACAGTTTTGAACAAACTATGGATTTTAACTGTGTGTGTGTGTGCTATAAAGACTGATCGCACTAAATCCATGTAGTTTTATTAAGAAAAGAAAACCAGCAAGTCTTACTAAAAGATCATAAGCCACTTACCAACTGGTCTGGATTAAGATGCTCTCCACTTTTCAGGCGATCCTTATAATCCTCCAGTTTGAGCTACAAAAGAGAAACTTGTATCTACCATAGTCTGACATAAAATTCAGAAGCAAATAAAGTAAATGCCAGATCTTGTCTCTAGGAAACAAAGTCCTTGAAGTAAGCTATCAATCTGCAAGACTATCATTTTACTATACGGCATGCAGCAACTGTAGATGAGTTCCAGTCAGGGGAGAAAAAATACACAGAATCACATGAGTCTGGAATTACAAAACCTAAGCAGTAATAAAACTATTTTCTCTTAATGACTCTATTAATAACTAGACTACTTAACCCATGGGGACTTACCTACTAAATCATGTGTCCCCAACACAGTAGCTTCTCAACAGGGAACAATTTTGTCCCCCAAAGATACCTGGCAATATCTAGGGATATTTTTGGTTATCACAACTTGGGAGGGGGAAGGGAGGTGAAGAGTGCTACCGGTATCTTGTGGTTAGAGGCCAGGGATGCTGCCAAACATCTTAAAATGCACAGGACAGCCCTTTACAACGAAGAATTATCCTGTACAAAATGTCAGTGGTGTAGAGGTTACGAAGTCCTACTCTAATCTCATGCTTAAACTATTAGTTCAGTTACCTGTTGAATTATGTGGCATTTTCCTAAAAAGAAACTCCTATTGGAAGTACAGAAACACCAAGAATTCTTTTCTATCATTATCATAGAGTAGGCTCATCTTGAAGTTATTTTTCATATTATATTTGATACTTAAGGAAATTATGAAAAATAAATTGCATTTGTTGGCCCCATAATAATGACATAAACCCACTATGGTATTTTTTTTTTTTTTTTTTTTTTTTTTTGAGACAGAATTTCACTCCGTTGCCCAGGCTGGAGTGCAGTGTCGCGATCTCGGCACACTGCAACCTCCACCTCCTGGGTTCAAGCGATTCTCCTGCCTCAGCCTCCTGAGTAGGTGGGATTACAGGCACCCCCCACCACGCCTGGCTAATTCTTTTTGTATTTTTAGTAGAGACGGGGTTTCATCATGTTGGCCAGGCTAGTCTCAAACTCCTGACCTCAGGTGATCTACCTGCCTTGTCCTCCCAAAGCGCAGGGATTACAGGTGTGAGCCACTGCACCCGGACCCACTATGGTACTCTAAAAGCATTCTTTAGGTTCCTCCTGTATTGGCTTTAGTGGAAAAATTCTTTCCCAGAAGGTTGAAACAAAAGTACTCGTACTATCTGGTATTCAAAATTAAAGAGGTACTATAGGTAAGCTAGAGAGCATAAGCATACATATATGTAGTTCCTCCACCTGAGGGAGGCTCCGTCAATAGATCCTGCTTTGATCATTTATCACAGTGATGGGGAATTTGTGCTGACCTGGCACACTCACCTTACCACACTTGTGATCAACTGCATACGTTAAAAAGATAAATGGTGAGAGCTACAGAGAAGCTACTAGCAACTTGCCCTTCTTTACTTTCTTAGGTTAAAAAAAAAAAAAAAAAAGAGTCAACCAGACTCTAAAGAGTCTCTTCACACTCCTCCATTAAAAGCAACTTTAAGGTCTAACTAGGTCTTGGCACAAAAGTACTTAACAACACATAGGTCCAGATAGTCACTCAACCTCACCTGTCCAAAAGCAGAAGAGAAACGTAATACAGCAAAGCAACGTGCAGTCTGTTTCACAGGCTACATGACTCAGGAAATGAAGAAGGATTTAGATCTTTACAACAGCATTTTCTGTAGCTAGGCTTAACTCCTGGGTCTCTTTACAAGGCTGACTACCACGCTTTCACCTAGCAATCTTAAATCTTCACCTAACACCACAAAAGTAAGTGGTAAAACATTTTCTAGTTCTACTACGGTTAAACCTTCCAACGACTGCAGCAGTTATACTGCAATATCAACTGCTGCAGAAAGTCACAAGGAAAACAAGCTAAAAAATCAGCTATTAACACATCTATGAAAAGAAACATTAATACTACATAAGGAATTAATCTCACCTAAAATAGCTAGCTCTTAAAGTATTTCAACAGCAGCATGCATAATGTAACTATGAAGAATATTTTTATTCCGTTGTTTTGACAAATGAAACAGAAAATGTTTAATATTTCCAACACGTAACCTGCTTGTTTAAAGCAGCTAAACCTAAGGTTAGTTAAATTTTTAGTAGAGAACACCTATGAGCTCTGAAAGAAAAATGTCAGCTCCTTAATCTTTAAGATCATGCATCTACAGGACTGGAAGAAAAAAAGTTACCTTCTTTTTCTCGATGTTTCTAATTTTGTGTTTAAGGCATATGAGTCCATTTTCAATATAGGTCTCATACGCTTGGGAAGGAGATGCAGCAGAACTCAGAGTAGACTGCAGGGGGCTCAAGGCCCGCTGGCTTTCCCCATGCTGACTGTGGTTCACTTGGGGCTTGGCTGACTTCATATTCCCCTCTCTTTCCTCCTCTGAATGGCCTGAAGGTGACTGGTAACCAAAAGGGGATGAAAAGAGTTGCACCATTGAAACAGATGAGGCTGAAGGAGGTGGGGGAAAGTTAAGTATAAAATTAGGACTAGAGGGACACAGCCAGGCAATAACTTCCCTGGAAAGTCTAGACCACTCCCTTAAACTCTTTTCCACAGAAGTGAGCTCGAAACCCAATGATGCTTGAGATACTTGTACTTCCATCCTACTTTTAAAGTAATTAGTGCCGCTAGCCAATAAGGATAGCCTTTACATAGGCAAAATCTCCCAATACGGAGGATGTTTCCAGAAATTCGATTTTCCACATAGGGAGGAAGAACTGCAACGGCTTCAGAGCTCCTTTCTTCTCATGAGGGCAGATCACATTCTAAATAATTCCCATGGCCACGTGATGACACCAAAAGAATAAGCTTTCCACACCGGGACCTAAGGCTGAGCCACTCAAACCTCTTTACATGATCCCTCACCACCAGCCCTAACCTCAATCCTGAACGTTTGGAAGAAAATCCAAACTCACAACATTCTTTTATAGCTCTAAGTGAACCAGCAGCTTCTTGAACAAGAATGCTAACTTCCCCGATTGCTCTGGGGCCTACAAGGCAATCCATCACTACTGGACATTTGCAGACAGGTACTCTCTCAACCTGCAGGAACCCCGCGTTTATTCTCAGTTGTTTGGTTTAGACTAGCCCAAAACCGCTTACACCCAACCAGTTTAAGAGCTCATTCTAGCGAGCCCTTCCCGTGCCCTAATCAGTGGCCCTTGCGCACTTACGTATCCGTCTCTCGACCTCCAAGCACCCGAGGTATCCCTTTCTCCCCCCTTAGGAGCATCCCCAAACCAAGGACAGAACAGGCCCCATGCACGCCAGCGCGCACCCCCTCAAGTCTCCGGGGGAGCCTGAGCGAAGAGCACCTCTCCCGAGCGGCCACGGAGAGCCCTGCAGGCACCGACCCCCACCCTTCCCACAGCCGCCCCGGGTACGCAGAAGCCGCTTCTGCAAGGCCCCGGGGGAGGCTGACCTGCGGAAAACGCACCGACCGCGGCCCTCGGGAGCCCCGCCCCGCCCCGGGGATGCCAAGCCGCCCCTCCACCTCGCAGCGGCGCCGGCCGCCCAGACCTGCCCACCCTCGCCGGGTCAGCCGCCTCCCTCCGCCGCGCCGACCGAGGCCGCCGCAGCCCGACTTCACCTCCCCAGGCAGCCGAGGCCGCCGCTGCCGCAGCCCGGGCCCGCCTTCCAAAGCCTGGGGGAGGCAGGAGCGCTGCGGAGGTGGACCGGCGCCACCCCGCACTCGCGTCTCCTCCTCCTGTCTCCTCCCTCTCCCCTCCCGGTCCTCGCCCGCGGCCTCTGCGGCGCCAGAGACCCAGCCGACTCAGCCGCTCGCGCCCAGGCCCGCCCACCGCGCCGCGCGTGGCTTTTGTAGGCCGCGCCCCGCCCCGGCCCGCTCCGCCCTCGGCCGCCCCGCCACCGCCTCCTTCCGGTGCTCCTTCCCGGCTGCAGCTGGCCGCCAGCGCTTGTCGGGTGTTAGTTCCGGGCCCAGCTTGGGCTGGTGGTAGGTCGGGAGAGGGCGCGGTCTCCCAGCCTTTGCGCAGATTGCGGGGCACCAGGTGGGGCCGAGGCGACGCCGAACGCCGGCAGGCCGGAAACCGCGCAGCCCCGCTGGACCTCGCTGATTGCCGGCGGCACCGGTGGTTTCGCGACCTTGAACAGGTGACTCCAATAGCTCCAGGAGGGCAGCGAGCCCTTCGCGGAACTACCAGATAAGCCATGCTTGAGGCTGTCGTAGCCTAGTGGGTAGTCGTGAAATGCAGATGCGCCTTTGCCCCTCAGATAGCATCTTTCATAGTAGGATGGGGAAAAAACACCGTTTCCTTACCGGGGAATCAGCCTGTAAGAGCAGAATGCCCCAAATCAGCATCGCCATAAAAACGGAGTAGGTGACTTCGCAACCTGCAATAATAGGATTGAGTTTATTCAAGCCGTATTATTTGTTCATGTGACACACATTAATTGACTGGCACGCAGAGAAAGCTGTAAAAAATCTTTGTAAGGTTACATAAAATTAAGAGAAAAGTCTGGAAATATGTAAAAGTTTATTGAGGAAAGGAAGGTGTTTCTGATACCAAATAAGAAACACACACACACACTCAGCAATACTTTGCCCCAACATGTGTTTACTTATTACACCAAGTGGAGTTTTTTAGGTCCTGATTGTCCCTGACGCTCTGATAAAAAATATTGAGACTAGCAAAAGAACAGAAAATTCAGAAGAAGAATCAAGGAAACAAAGGTCTAGTTTTAAAAGCCTTGGTCAACTTCACACAAATTAATTTTAACATTACTTAATACATTTTTTTGGCATCTATTATCCGTGTTCTTTTCGGTCCCTGGTGACATAATGTACCCTAATGTTGCATTTTAACTTTGAATCTCTGAATCCCATATGTGTTCTTCAGGGTCAGAGAAATACTAGATTTTCCCTTTTTCTCATTGTTTATAAACAGAGAAACGCAGAAGATGCTGAACATGAGGAGAGGAAGGCTATGCCTTCACCTTTGGTAACACAAAAAACAGTGGCCATAAGAAAAAATGTGAAGGACACACTGTTGGATCAATGAGTTGACACAAAGTTACAGCACAGCCTGAGTTGTAGTCCGAGCTAATGATGAACCTAAAAATGGTATTTCAGTCAGATTAATCATGAAATGTTTGCCCCCTGCCGGCGCAGTGGCTCAAGCCTGTGATCCCAGCACTTTGGGAGGCCGAGGCGGGGTGGATCACCTGAGGTCGGGAGTTCGAGGCCAGGCTGGCCAGCGTGGTGAATATCCATCTCTACTAAAAATACAAAAATTAGCCGAGCATGGCGGCATGTGCCTGTAATCATGGCTACTCAGAGGCTAAGGCAGGAGAATCGCTTGAAACCCGGAGACGGACGCTGCAGTGAGCCGAGATTGTGCCGCTGCACTCCAGCCTGGGTGACAGAGCAAGACTCTATCTCAAAAAAAGAAAGAAAGAAAGAAATGTTTGCCTTCTAATCGGTCAGGCAAAAAGGAGGCCGTAAATTTTAAATTTTCTACTAAATGGATATTCTTCTAAATGAATAAATCCATACAGATTTACTTCTCAGGAAGGATTATAAAAATGCATCACGAAAGAATGCAAAAGCAAAAATAATTGAATTTCAAGTCCAGTAGGGTACAGTCTGTATACGTATGGCGTGACATTTGTAGGAGAACATACCACAGTAGATACTCTTGAAGCAATGTCTTCTGAACAAGTTAAAAAGATGATTCAGATAAAAGCTTTTCTGCTAGAGGAGATCTTTAAAGTCAGTAAGTCTGGCTTACTTTGAAAGCACATGTCCCCAAAACTTTTATTTGTCAGGAGTTTAGTTTATTTTACCCTCTCCCACTCCCTATTTTCTGTAAGACCGTGACTTTTCTTGCCAACTGTGAGGCAGTATCTGTGGCATGCCACCTCCAAGCTTAGCAAGGAATAACTATATTGGAAATATGATAAAAAGTGTTGTCTCGAATCATTGATAGAAGAATATATTCATTTATTCATTCAACAGATGTTTACTTAGCACTTGCTATGTAGTAGGTGATAAGGCATAATGGTGACTGAGACAATATAGCTTCTGCCTTCGTGGAGCTAAGTGGGAATTCAGTAAAAGCTATAGATGTAAATGGCAAAAACAACCAAATCAAAAAACCCGAAGACAAAAATACTAAAGACTTTAATAATGGATGGTTTGATTTCTACAAAAACAGCCAGACTTTACGTCCTTTGAAAATGTGAAGGTGTTAAATATGCACTGTCTGACAAATGTTCAATTGCTGCAGGGATGGTTATGCTGTAGTCACTTAAAATTAATATAGCTTCATATTGTTGAAACTGGAAAGATAAATCCACCAAAGGATGTGAAACCTGGTAGCGTGTTAGTAGAGATATGAGAAATTATCTTAGACACATGGTTGTGGGTGATAGAAGTCTGTTTCTTATTGGCTCTACGAGACTTTGTGGAGAATTGCCACCAAGAGACAGAGAGAGAGGGAGAAAGTCACCAAGAAAAATAATAAGAAGGCTAAGAAAGAAAAAGACAGGAACAATAACATAAGGTTGTTAAAAAGATAGTACTTTTGGCCGGGTGTGGTGGCTTAACGCCTGTAATCCCAGCACTTTGGGAAACCAAGGCAGGCAGATCACCTGAAATCAGGAGTTCAAGACCAGCTTGGCCAACATGGCGAAACCCCATCTGTACTAAAAATACAAAAATCAGCCGGGCATGGTGGTGCGCCCCTGTAATCGCAGCTACTTGGGACACTAAGACAGAAGAATCGCTTGAACCCAGGAGGAGAAGGTTGCAGTGAGCCAAGATTGCGCCACTGCACTCCAGCCTGGATGACAAGAGCGAAACTCTGTCTCAAAAAAAAAAAAAAAAAAAAAATATATATATATATATACAGTACTTTCACATACTTGCTGATTCATAGAGTGTCTATTCAAATATTTGAGAAACTTTTTATGAAAGTAAAGAACTGAGAAATATAGACCTCAGGTAGGAAAAAAAACTTGCCATAATAGTTTAGGGTATTTTTAGAGAAATATCTAGTTTGTAAGATTAATAATTTGGTAGGCTTATTTTTTCATAAAATTATACATTCCTATTGGTTTTGTTGATACTGTTTTTCTGATATTGAAGTTAATGCATTAATAGTGCTCCACCATTAAGTACCTTTGAAATAAAAGTTCTTTAGAGGAGGAGTAATCAGTGTAGAACTTATGAATGTGTGTCATTAAATCAATAATATCAAGCCCATAAAAATATGATTTCTGTCCAACTTTGAAGTATTATAAAGTGTCAACAGCATGGGCTTTGGAGCCAGACACACATGGATTGGATTCTTGTTCCTGCCCCTTACTAGCTGAATGATCTTGGGCAAGTGACTGAAATTCTGTGGGCTTCAGTTTTTTCAGCTGTAAAACTGCTGATAATAAAACAAACATAATATTACCTATTAACAGCATTGTTAAGGATTTCATTTCGTTTCTGTAAAAGCATCTGACTAGAGACTAGGCCATGAAAACATATCCTCCACTGAGATACCTGTATTTGCTGCTTTTGCCATAATACGAAGCCCAGCATTTCTCCTAGTAGCCAAGGAGAACTAGAGAACTGTGGAATTTATGGCTAAGGAATCCCACCCCCCCGCCCTTATTTGAAAGACAAGGTATATAAAGCTGGTGGACATTTGTGAGTTTTCCAAGACCTAAAGAATCTAGGTCTTCTGCCCTCTAATGCAACATGCACTCCAGGCCGCTTCATCCCTTTCCCTTGCTGCTTCCATGGAGTAAATAAAGTATAGAAATAGGCAATTAAACTTGAAGATTGAAACCAAAAAGAATAAGCAATTCAGTGTTACAGTGTCTTCAAAGGAATTCATTCAGAAAGACATTTTAAAATATTCATATCTTTTGATCCAGTAGCCTTTATTTTAGGAATCTCCCCTATCAAAATAATCAGAGATGCAAACAATCACTTATTTATGAAAATGCTAGGCACCACATTTTTTTAAGTGGTGGGAAATTGTAAACAACAACCTAGACACTCAACAATAGAGAAATGGCTAAATAATGTGACTCTAAGCCATGAATTTTAATTCAAGTAGTACAAATCATCTTTTCAAAGAATATTCAATGACATGATATTATATGAAGTGAAAAAAGGGCAGGATAAAACACGGTATAAAACATTTAGTAAGATTGTGACTTTGTAAAATATTTCATTTTAAATATGCATGGAAAAGGCTGAAAGATGTTTTCACTTTATTTTTATAGCATATGTTTAGTTTTTATACCAAACCAGAAAAAGTATTTTCCCAAAAACATGAAAGCTGCCCCCTCCACCGATTACCATTATTAACTTTTTGCTTATATTCTTCTAGACTTATTTCCAAGAAAATATCTGTATAATTTTTTACAAAAATGGGAATGTACTAAACATTTTGCAATTCTGCTATTTTGACTTAAAATATAATGAGCATCTTTTTATTAAAATAAACTTGGTGTGGTGGCTCACGCCTGTAATCCCAGCACTTTGGGAGGCTGAAGCGCGCGGATCATGACATCAGGAGATCGAGACCATCCTGGCCAACAGGTGAAACCCCGTCTCTACTAAAAATACAAAAAATTAGCCGAGTGTGGTGGCGGGTACCTGCAGTCCCAGCTACTTGGGAGGCTGAGGCAGGAGAATGGCGTGAACCCGGGAGGGAGAGCTTGCAGTGAGCCGAGATCATGCCACTGCACTCCAGCCTGGGGGACAGAGCAAGACTCTGTCTCTAAATAAATAAATAAATTAATTAATTAATTAATTAATTAAATAAACTTTAACTTCGGATTAGCTTTGGGAGGTAGAATTTCATATTATTTTAATTATATTCTTTTTACTTTCTGTGAACAAGTTAGAACTAACATTATTTAACAGAAATGTTAGTTATCCAAATAGGAATCACAGCAATATAATACACCAGTAACTATTTGAATAAATGGTAATCTACATAATTATTCTTTTTGTACAAGGACAAGAATCCTAAATGAAACACAAAAAAGTGACTCTAGAAAGAAAGCCTAAAGTGGTACAAGTTATTTTGTGATTTGAAAAAAATACTTCTTATTCACCATCACTTTGTTAGCCTAGAATTTTTCACATAAACGATTTACTCATTTTTGATAAACAGTATGTTTTTAAAAAGTTCTGTTTCTTAGATATGGCATCAAAAGCACAAGCAACAAAAGAAAACAGATAAGTTGGACTTCATCAGAATTGAAAACTTTTGTGCTTCTAAGGATGCTATCAAGAAAGTGAAAAGACAGCCCACAAAGTTGGAGAAAATATTTGTAAATTATATGTAAGGTACTTGTATGAAAATATAAAGAACTCTCTTAGAACTCATTAATAAAAAGACAGCCCAATTTAAAAATGTGCAAAGAATATGATAGGCATTTCTCCAAAGAAGAGATAAAAATGACCAATAGGTACATGGAAAGATGCTCAACATCAGTACTCATCAGGGGAATGTAAATCAAAACCACAATGAGATATCATTTCACACCTACATAGGTGGTCATAATAAAAAAAGATAATAACAAGTGTTGACGAGGATGTGGAAAAATTGGTTGGAATCCTCATACATTGCTGGTGGGAGTGTAAAATGATGTAGCTGCTTTGGAAGACAGTCTGGCGGTTCTTCAGTTAAATATACTGTTACCATATGACCCAGCAATTCCATTCCTAGGTATACTCCCAAGAGAAATGAAAACACATATGCACACAAAAGCTTGAACACACATTTTCATAGCAGCATTATTCAAATCACTGAAAAGTAGAAACAACCAGGCCAGGCGTGCTGGCTCATGCCTGTAATCCCAGCACTTTGGGAGGCCGAGGCGGGTGGATCACGAGGTCAGTAGTTCAAGACCAGCCTGGCCAAGATGCTGAAACCCTGTCTCTACTAAAAAAAAAAAAAATACAAAAATATTAGCCAGGCTTGGTGGCGGGTGCCTGTAATCCCAGCCACTCAGGAGGCTGAGGCAGAGAATTGCTTGAACCCGGGAGGCGGAGGTTGCAGTGAGCCAAGATCGCACTACTGCACTCCAGCCTGGGCGACAGAGCAAGACTCATCTAAAAATAAATAAATAAATAAAGTAGAAACAACCAAAATGTCCCATCTACTAATAAATGCTTAAATAAAATGTGGTATATCTGTACAATGGAATATTATTCAGCCATTAAAAGGAATGAAGTACTGATACAGTATGTACGAAATTTAGAAACATTATACTAAGTGATGCCAGGCGCAGTGGCTCACATCTGTAATCCCAGCATTTTGGGAGGCCGAGGCAGGTAGATCACTTGAGGTCAGGACTTGGAGACCAGCCTGGCCAATGTGGTGAAACCTCATCTCTACTAAAAATACAAAAATTAGCCAGGCATGGTGGTGGGCGCCTGTAATCTCAGCTATGGGGGAGGCTGAGGCAGGAGAATCACTTGAACCTTGGAAGTGGAGGTTGCAGTGAACCAGGATCGTGCCACTGCACTCCAGCGTGGGCAACTCCATCTCAAAAATAAAATAAAATAAAATAAAATTATATTCCATCTCAAAAAAAAAAGCCAGCACAAAAGGCCACATACTATATTATTCCATTTATATGAAATGTCCAGAATAGGCAATCTATAGAGACAGAACATGGATAACTGGTTGCCTAGCACTTGGGGGAGTGTTGCAGGGAAATGGAGAGTGACTGCTAATGCGTACAGGACAGGGTTGCATTGTGGGGCGATGAAAATGTTGTAAAGTTGATATAATGATTGCACAATTCTGTGAGTATACTAAAAACCATTAAATTGTATACTTTAAATGGGTGAATTGTATGGTGGTGTGGGTTGATTTGTGTCCACTAAAAAGATATGTTAAAGTCCTACCCCTGTACCTTGAATATCACCTTATTTAGAAATGGGATATTTGCAGATGTGATCAAGTTAAGATGAGGCCATACTGGATTAGGATGGGCACCTAAATCCAAGGACTGGTGTCCTCATGAGAAGAGAGAGATTTGGGGTCGGGCACGGTGGCTCCTGTCTGTAATCCCAGCACTTTGGGAGGCCGAGGCGGGTGGATCACGAGGCCAGGAGATCGAGACCATCCTGACTAATACGGTGAAACCCCATTTCTACTAAAAATACAAAAAATTAGCCGGGCATGGTGGCAGGCGCCTGTAGTCCCAGCTACTCTGGAGGCTGAGGCAGGAGAATGGCGTGAACCCGGGAGGTGGAGGTTGCAGTGAGCCGAGATCGCGCACTACTGCACTCCAGCCTGGGTGACAGAGGGAGACTCTGTCTCAAAAAAAAAAAAAAAAAAAAGAGAGATTTGAAGACACAGAGGAGACACAGGGAAGAAGGCCATGTGATGACAGAGACAGAGTAAAGCAATGGAGTAAAAGCCAAAGAACACCAAGGAGTGCTGACAACCACCAGAACATAGAAAGGAGGGAAAGGATTCTTCCCCAGAGCCTTCAGGAGCATGCCCTGCCGACATCTTGATTTTGGATGTCCAGTCTCCAGGACTGTGAGAAAATAAATATTTTCAATAAAATAAAACAATATTCTGTATATTCTGTAAATGTAAAATAAAATTCTGTAAATATTCGATAAAACAATATTCAATAAAACAAATTCTGTTGTTTTAATGCACCCAGTTTGTGGTAATTTGTAGCCATATAAAACTAATATATATGGTATGATACGGTATGTGAATTATATACTAATAAAGCTTTATTTTTAAGGGCTCTGGCTTTATTTTTGTTTTAAGTGGAAATGTGTATACTCATGGCAGAGAGCGTTGGAAGTCCAGAAGGCAAAAGGTGAAAAGGAGGCTCTATTCATGCAGATTTCTGCGGGGACAGAAGCAGGAGTGAGGGGAAGGCATAGGCCAGAGCCCTTACTGGGGTTCTGCAGCAAATGCAAGGCAGAGCAGGGGAAACAGTTTAGGATTGGCTAGTTTGAATAATTCCAATAGGCTTTGGGCTATAGGGGTGATATGTAGTTGCCTGATACCTGGCCCTGTGATGATTTAGGGTAGGGCAAACAGTGGCTTGGTATGTGAGAGTTAGATAAGAAGGTATGTGGAGCCACAACCTTGGTTCAGTTGGTCTGCACATGAGTTCCCGGCAAGCCGACTTACAGGACAAAAGTAAATATGGTTTACCATATTTACTTATGGTTTGACCCTGCGATAAGTAGATACCAAATAGACATACAGAATCTAAGAAAATGCAGTTAAAACAGGTAGCCTGATACCATTTACCTTCAGATTGAGTCCCCTACCTACTCAAGTACATTCCCTGACAAGTTAATAGCTGAATACTATTCCCTGATTGGCGCTTTGGCCCTGGGAACTAAACTTTGGTTGCTTCTCTATCCAGTCATTGTCTCTCCCTTTAGGCTCCCTGAAACTCTGCATCCCACCCAACTGCCTGTCCATCCCAACAGGTCTGATCACATATTCAGTGAAAGATTAAAACAAAATTTAGCAGGTCCCAACTGCCCCCAAGATGCAATGTTCTTTGTAAATTATTTACATTTTATTTTTGAGTAGGTAATGGAATACAGTTGCTATACGGAAGGAAAAGTATCCCCTCACTCTTGTCCTCAGTTCCCTTCCTCTGAGTTAACAAGTGTTAACTATCTTCGGTGGATCTTTCCATAGATTTTATGCACATGTAACAAGTATAGTCTCCCACCACCATCACCATTTTTTAATCCAAATGTTCACTTACAAACACCGCTACATCTTGCTTTTTTCTCCTAACAGTTTATCTTTGCAATCAACCCCATACCATTATACAAGGAGCTTCCTCATTCTTTCAAACAAGCACAGTATTGCATTTAAATGTATCATAAATTACTTAATGGGCACAATGTAAGTTGTTCAGGAAATGAATACCCTGAAAGCCCTGACTTGATCTCTAGGCAATCTATGCATGTAACAAAATTGTACTTGGAACTCATAAATGTATACAAAAAAATAAAGGTACCATAATTTAACCAGTCCTCTAGTGAAAAATATTAAGGATATTTCCAACCTTTTGCCTTACAATTATGCAATTAATAACCTTATTCATACATCATTTTGCACATTTATGAATATATCTGTAGGAGAAAACCTTCAAAGTAGTATTACTGGATCAATTATGCCTTTGATAGGTGTTTCCAAATTGATTTTCATAGAGGTAGCCACATGTAAACTCCCATCAGCAACATATGCAACCTGTTTATCCTCCCCATCATTAACACAGCATGTGTAGCATTTGCTGCCAGCCCAGACCTGTCAGTGTGTTCCTGTGACTTCCGACTGTCAATATCTGCTCAGTCTCTGTGCCTCAGAGTCCCATCCCCATCTGAACAAGGCGTCTTATGGGATTATAGGAAGGTCAAAAGCACAGAAAATGAACACCACTACCTTCAACCCCCCACCATACACACAAGTCACAAGGAGCATTCATCCCTGACTTTCCAGCTCCATCATCCCTCTAGTGGGATAATTCTGAGGTTTGTATGTTACATTACCTCCTAGGGTTTTTCCACATGGTAGCTGGTAAATAAAGTACCTTCACTGGCTGCCTTACCTTTTCTATGGCATTTCCCTACTTCTCTTTCCAGTCTCCCCTCCCAGCTGCCCCATCTGAATTGCCCTCCTCGGATTCTTTTTGTTTGTAATTAGTATCAGGAAGCAAAAGTTGGCGTCAGCAACGTTTACCTTCCAAAGATAATTGAGCTCCTTATTTGATCTGAGTGTTCTACATCTGTTTCATCTTCATCATAATGTTGATATTTTTCGGGCTATTGGAAACTAGTCTCTTTAAAGCCATGCAACATTAATTAAAGCTTTAAAGCAGATGTCTGTGCCAGAAAAAAATTCAGCAAATTATTTACTTTTAGAATAAGAATATTTCCCTTAATCTCAGCAGGAATCCTGAGAGCATGCATATTATTCATGTAGGTTGGCACTGAAATTATCTTGGGGCCATGGAGAAGAACGGAAAATAAACATGTTGATTTTCATAGGAAATTTTAAAAGATATATACTTTTAAAGGCTTCATAATTTTTTTTTTTCAAAATGCCTAACAACTAGTAAGTAAAACAACATGGGGGAAAAAAGACTAAATGGAACTTCACTTAAATGCTGAATGTTTCACTATTGAGGCAAATTATTTTTTTCTAGGAAAGTCACCTTCAGATGCAGGTAAGTAAACTACTAGCTAATAAGTCAGCTTCTTAGAGCTTTAGTTTTATTTCCTCTGAAATAAGATTATAATTCATGGGAGTGTTTTGATGATTAAATGAGCTAATAGATGTAAAGTACTTAGCACATTGCCTGTCATATCATACTCAGTAATTGGTCCTTATTCTTACAAAAACAGTTTCTGCTCATGAGCCATTATCTACTCTAAAAGTAGCCAAGGAAGAATATATGCCATGAAAGGATTAGGACAGCCTAGGGAAAGGAAGTAGGGCACTATATAAACAATTCATAAGACAAAAACCCCACAACTCAGGACAGCGCAAATCAAGAAGACAGCATAGTCTCTTTTCCCATGCTGGGTAGCTTGGGCTACCCAGACTTCTATAAATATGTAGAGGGGGCATCACAGGAGCTTAATGCAAATGCTGGAGTAGGCATGTTTTCTCTAAGATCATTCCTTTTGCTACCCCTACCTGACACTATCACTGTTAATGTTACCAATTCTAAAAACATTATTTAGAGTGGCAGCAACAATGCATCTTCTTCAGAGCAGCCTGTGCAATGGTTATTTGTTTAAAGCAAAATTTGAAGGTAAGAGGTAAAGGGCAGGCAATGAGAGTTAGTATAGAGAGGATGTACTGGATATATCATGCATCTATAATGGCATAGTAGAAAGAGAACGGGACTAAGAACCAGGCAGGCAGAGTTCTAATTCTAGCTCTTCTAATGATAGTTTGTGAACTTGGGCAAACTACTAAATTTGTCTGTTAACAGTCCCCCAATAAATTGTCAGCAAGTGCTATCAACTCTACCTTGAAAGCATATCCCAATTCTGTCCACTTCTCTCTATATACACTTCCATTGAAGCCAGGCCACTGTTTGCTCTCTACAGCAACAGCCTCCTATGAATTTCTTGTTTCCCTGCTGACCCCACTACAATTTCTCTTAGACACTGAAGCAGAGGGATAGTTAAGAATTTAAAATATGATATAATCTCCTGCTCAGGTCTCCTAATGATTCTCTACCTCACTTAGAAAAAACAAATTCATACTATAGTACTTAAGATGGTGTTCATGATATAAACCCTCCCGCAACCTCCACCCCTGTTTCCTCATTGTGGCTGACAGTCCCTAATGTGGTTCCCATGATTCCCACCTCCAGGTATTCATCCCAGTGTAATTCCCTCCCCTTGAGTGGGCAGGACCTGGACATGTTTTTAACCAACAAAATACAGCCAGGATGACGGGTCATCACCTCTGTTATAACCTTACACAAGACTGTAACCTCTCTTGCTGGGAAACTCTCTCTCCCTTGCTGATGTTGAGGAAGCAAGCAGCCATAATGGGAAGGCCCCCACAGCAAGGAACTGAAGGCAGCTTCTAGCCAACAGCCAGCAAGAGGTTGAGGCCCTACAGCCAAGAGCCTGCAAAAAATTGAATTCTGCCAACAACTACTTGAGCTTGGAAGCAGATTCACAGATGAGCCTCCCATGAGAACCCTACTTTGGCCAATACCCTGATTGCAGCTTTGCAGAGGACCCAGCTAAACCGTGCCAGGCTGCTACATTTGTGGTAATATTGTTACATAACAATAGATAACGAATACACTTCTCTTCCATTACACTCCTCATCTCTACACTGGACCTTCTTGCTGCTCTCCCCATAAGTCAAGGCTATTCCCTCCTCAGGGCCATTGCACTTACCGTGTCCTCTGCTTAGGAGGCTTTTAACCCAGCTCTTTACCTAGCTGACCTTTTCTTGTCATTCAAGATCTTAGCTCTAATGTTTATTCTTATCTAACAAATCTAAATAGCCATTCTGACACTAGCACATCACAATGTTTTCGTTCTCTGCATAGGACTTTTTATTATGTGTAAAAAATGTCTTTATTCTGTTTCTTTACACTAGAAAGTGAGCTATTTGAGAGCAAGGACCTTGTCTATCTTGTTTCCCACTATATGCCTAGAAACTAAAATAGTAGCTGGTACTATAGTAACATTCAACAAATACTTGTTGATTAACATTGAATGAATATTGGGCAGTATTTAAGCTCCTTCCCGTGCTCAGATAGTCTCAGGTCCATAGTCTCAGGTCACATATGTCCCAAGGGTCATATGCAAAGATGTACATTGTAACAATATTTGTGGTACAGTGAATAGATAATCTTGGTGTCCATCACTGGAAGAGTAGATTAGCAATAGATCAGATTTGCACATTGCAACATGGCTGAACTTAAAGCATAATGCCCAAGACTAAGATGTATATGATGCACTTTTTTGTAAACAAAAATACACATGCATACAAAGATATCCGTTTTGTAAGCATGATATAAAGAAACAAGCAAAAAAACAAAAACACATTAAAAAGACTAGAATGTTTGCCTATAGGAGAGGAAGGAGATGCAAGTGGGAAATGGGGTTAATAGGTAATAAATAAAACAAGAGAAGGACCTTGCTCAGACTAATGATGATAATGTACTAGGAATCGAGCTGTGTGATTAATTCAATCTTCTTCATCAGAGAGCCAAAATTAAGGCAAAGCAACATTGTGTGATTCAGAGATCATAGGCAATATCCAAAGGTGTCACCAGCTTAAAGATTAAAAAATGTTGGATTAAATATTGGAAGGTGACCTGCACTGGGAGTCTCACATCATTCTTCACTCCTACCCTTCCCTCGCTCTCCTTATGGAACCCAGGGTCTGGGAGCTTCCAAATTTTCTCTCAGTTTAGTGTCCACCCATCTTAGGTTTCCATCATGATTAGACTTAAGCTTAATTTTCTTGACACTGCTGCTTCACAGCTATGCTCTTGCCATGCTCTTGCAGTAGGATGTACACAATGTATGGTTATCTCTCTTTTGTGATGTTAGACCTATTAAGGACCAGTGCCACCAGTCATTATGTCAATGCCTCTCTAGTCATTTTGCTTATCTGAGGCTAATTTTCTAGTACATTCCTCAGGAAGAGTTCATGGGAGCGATATTCCCTGAGATCCTAAATGTCCATAACAATTGATCTGTAGGCCTTATACTTGAAAGTCAACTAAGCACAATATATAAATTCTTGGCTCACATTCTTTCTGCTAACACATATCTTTCAGACTTTTATGTTACAGCTTATACCTTTCTACATTGGAATGTTCTTCCCACTCGTCACCTGTCAAACTTTATTCATCCACTTATACCCCGTTTCAGCTTTCTACTACTATGAAACCTTTCCTATCTCCTCCTGACAGGGTTAAGTTCTACTTTCAAAAGTCTTCTTATGCAGCTTTATATATTTCTCTATGGTATTACTTAATACATCTTATATAGGTTTTTTTTAAAGAGACAGGGTCTCACTATGTTTCCAGGCTGGACTCACACTCCTGGCTCAAGCAATCCTTCTAAGTAGCTAGGACTACAAGTGCATGACACTGAACCTGGCTTGCTTACATATGGCTTTTAAAAAACGTCTCATTTTTTCTTCATGAATGCAATAGCTTCTTTTATCTCTCTGAGACCATAAATCGTAGGTCCTAACTTTTCTGATTCCTTTATTGTCTCAGTTTCCTCCACATTCTTTCCTGTTTGTTTTATCTCTATTTCTTTATGCTGGAAACTTTCCTCAAGTGTCTGATGATTCTTACCTATTCATTTATATCTAAAAGTGAGGCACTGAAACCTAAAAACAAAACCTTTGTGGAGAAGTACAATGTATTGAATTATAGTCTTATTGAAGAATGATTCGGTAGGGCCCCAGCTATTCCCTAGGGAAAACCTCCCCAGAAATGTGTCAGCATCTGTAAGTCTTTTTTCTAGGCATGGCCATTTTCCTCAGGAGAAATTCTCCTTCCAGTTTCATACTTTGGTGGGTGTTATAGATGCCAACATTCTAAGCCACGGTAAGGAAGGAGGCTTTAGAGTCTTACTTTGAGATATATCAATTTCCACTTATTTCCCCTACTTTCTGCAGAGCTTCCTGCCTTTCACCTATGCCTGAGTTTGAGTTCCTCAATTCAATACCTTTCCATTTTCTGCTGGGCTGGGTTACTTGTCTGCCTATGGTATGGAAAGGGATATAAGGGTCTAACTGCTTCATTCACAGATATTCAATCCATCCTTCTGTTTTCAGCCTCACTTCTTACCCCTACCTTCAGAGATGACTAATACTACCTATTCCTGAGATTTTCCAGGGTTTTAAGGCAGGGTTTTTCTTTTTGGCTTCCCTCTCTGCAGGCAGTATTGTTTCAGCTTTCTCTGGTCTGCTAGATCAGTTAGCAATTGCAAACTGATTTGGAGGCTTCCAAAATTTAATTGGCATCTCTCAGCTGTTCTTCTACCCTCTCCTGTTGTCTCCCTTCATGTTCTTTCTCTTAGATTTATGCCTTTTAAAATCCCTTTAGTGTCATCTAGGTGAAAATTCAGGAAGGAACAGAAGGAAATGCAAGTCACCAATCTTTTATGTTTAGCAAGAAAACTGTGCTTTTAACTTCTCTGTTATGCTGTCTCTATGTATAGTTTGCATGGCTATCCCCCACATAGATAATGATTTTCTTGAAGGCAGAGACTTGAAAATAAAAAAATTCCGACACTCCTGGGAAAAGATTAAACGTGCTGCAGTTATGGCAACAAGTAACCACCAGAACCAGTTCCAAACTGGTTTAATGGGCTAGGCATGGTGGCTCACATGTGTAATCCCAGCATTTTGGGAGACTGAAGTTGGAGGTTCACTTGAGCTCAGGGGTTCATGGATGCAGTGAGCTGTAATTGCACACTGTACTTTAGCCTGGGCAACACAGTGAGACCCTGTCTCAAAAAAAAACAAAAAGTAATAAAATAAAATAATCTGGTCTGGTGGATTGATGGCAACTTACCTAAGCGAACACACTTGTGAAATCTAGCCAGAAACAGCCCCATGCTTTTGAAAGCCAGCCAATCCACAACAATCTCATCTAAACAACCAAGTTTCCCTAGCTGGCAACAACGAACCCACTCCCACCTCTGAAATTCTGCCAATCCCTCAACTTCATGCTCCACAAACTTCTATAGACAATCAGCTCCTTGCTTTACTGGAGGAGACTGTGCTTCAGGCACCATTAGATTCAGCTTTTTGTTTCAGATATTGAGTGGTAGTCTTTTTCTTTGTCAGATCTCAGCAATCACCACAGTATCTGTTGCTTGGAAGGTACTCAGTGGGAAGATAGGAGAAGGTGCAGAGGGCAACTGTAAATGTGTCATAAGTG
Organism: Homo sapiens; assembly: GCF_000001405.40. Classification (NCBI taxonomy): domain Eukaryota; kingdom Metazoa; phylum Chordata; class Mammalia; order Primates; family Hominidae; genus Homo; species Homo sapiens. The sequence continues at coordinate 30,770,590 of NC_000012.12, forward strand.
AAGGGGCCTGGGCTGTTTGCCCTACCCAGCCCTGTGGCAAGGCTAAACCAGGTATAAATTTTGCTCAACATTCACTCTTCAATTCCAATTCATAAGCATCTCAGGTATAAGAAATGTAAACATCTGCATCCAGAAGCAATTATGTTTGCCTGTCACCTTTCATTCAGTATTGTTAACTGTATATAATTGTGAAAGGAAAATATCTTGGAACTCCAAAATCACTAAGCTAAAAGGATAATTCAAGCTGAGAATTGCTTAGGGCAAACTTGCCTCTCATTCTATTCAAAGTCATCCCTCTGCTCACTAAGATAAATGTGTGTCTGATTGAGTCCTTTGGAGAGGCTAATCAAAAACTCAAAAGAATGCAGCCACTTGTCTCCCACCTACCTGTGACCTGGAAACCCCCTCCCTGCTTCAAGATGCCCTGCTTTTACTTCGAGTTGTCCTGCCTTTCCAGACCGAACTAATGTTCATCTTACATATGTTGATTGAGGTCTCATATCTCTCTAAACTGTACAAAACCAAGTTGTGCTCTGACCACCTTGGGCATATGTCATCAGGAACTCCTGAGGCTGTGTTATGGGCATGCGTCTTCAACCTTGGCAAAATGAACTTTCTAAATTAACTGAGACCTGTCTCAAATTTTGGGGGTTCACATTTGGTAACCACAGAGGGATTCTGAGTGGAGATGCCCCTGACCTTTGACAAATCTCCTACTGGTGCTTGCTACCAGCATGAGCTAACTTTATGGCTCAAACCAACAGGACAATTTGCTGAGGTGTGAGAGCACCCCCTCCAGAGAATCCCTGATCTCCCAAAATTTGGCCAAGATCTAATCTAGATCTAAAGTTTATTTTGCCTTACAAGTCCCTGTTTTTTTGTTTTTGTTTTTGTTTTTGTTTTTGTTTTTTTTGGAGTTCTACTTTCTTCCAACAAGGAAGGCAAGTTTTCCTGCTTCCATGATGATCCAAGGCAGGTAACTCCTTTGTGGAGTTTGAGCTCGCTTCTAAAAGGGAAAATGAGGTCTTTCTCCTGCTTCTAGGATGGTAGAGAGCAGTCTACAGCCTGAGACCTATCCCTAGGTAAGTAACTGAGTTGGGGTATGTCTTGGCTAAAGTTAAGATTAACAACCAGCTAGTCTTAATTTCTTCTTACCATTAGAGTGCTCAGTAATCATGTAAGTGGCATGATCGTTTGTTTTGCTTAACTGTTTTTTGTTGTTGTTGTTTGTTTCTGTTTTTGTTGTTGTTTCAGTCTTTTTCCCATTGGGTTTGACCAACTCTATCCAACTTGATCAAATCTGAAGGAAAGTTCCAAATTATGAGGAACAAGACCTCTAAAGTGGCTAAAACCTCCCCCACCCCCCACCCCCTCCCCCCCCCCCACACACAAGGTGGTATGGTAGAAGGAGAAAAATGGCCAACAAAAGGAAAAAAAAGATTTTTGATTTTGAGTACTTAAGGGGCTTTATTTACATAACAAGGCCACCTTTTTGCTAGCCAGACCAAAGTGAAAGAGCAATGGCTGTCATTCTATGCTGCAGTTCGATAGCTAAGGTCCTGCTTTTATATTTTTTTTCACCACCACAGCCTGGGTTTGGTTCCTAAATCAAGCCCTTTCTGGTTTGTTACTTGGTACTTTTGAAATAGCAGCAAGTTTTCCTAGCTAAAATATGGTAATGAGATTTAAAAGGATTTTTTTTAAAAGCAGTTCAATGGTTAAAAGTCAGCTTAATTAAAAGGCTAACATCCGATATGTGTGTGTATGTGTATGTGTGCATACGTGCATGTTTGTATTTAAAAGGCCTTCATTTTTTGTTGTTGTTGTTGTTTGTTGTTCTCTCCTAGGACCTTGTCTTTTTTTTGAGCAAGAGGTTTTTTCTTCTCAGTTGACTGAATTATGTTTTCACCTGATTTTTTTACTAAAATAGGTATTGGGTTTTTAAGAAAGAGTGTAGTTTAGACACTTAGTCTGAACCGTCTTTGTTTAAAAAACAAATTTTTTTGAGATTGAGTCTCACTCTATTGCCCAGGCTGAAGTGCAATGGCGCGATCTTGGCTCACTGCATCCTTCACCTCCTGGGTTCAAGTGATTTGCCTGACTCAGCCTCCCAATTAGCTGAGATTACAGGCGTGTGCTGCCACACCCAGATAATTTTGTATTTTTAGTACAGACATGGTTTCACCATATTGACCAGGCTGGTCTCGAACTCCTGACCTTAAGTGATCCACACACCTCAGCCTCCCAAAGTACTGGGATTACAGGCATGAGCTACAACACCTGGCCAAAAACATTTTTTAAGTGCAGTGTAAAAGAATCACATGGTCTAGCCTCATAATAATTCTTTCTTTTTGGAGACCCAGAATTCAGTGTAGGCCCTGCCTAGAGCTCACAGATCCAGTTAAAAAAAATAGGTAGTCCCTATCTAAATAAAATTGGTCTCCTTATACAATCCAATGATAAATTTCTATAGTTTTATGTTCAGTTGGCAATTAAATCTGTTTTAATTTCTCTCTACCTCACCAAACTTTCTTTGTGTACATTATGATGTAAATTGTGCTATCTGACATACACCTGAGGTGTTTCTGTTAATATGCCAATTTAAGGCTATTTAGCTGACAACTGCCTAGGGTTGTGAAACAGGTTATCAAGAATCTGAAAGTCTAAGATAGGAAAAAAAAAGGTTTTTATGAATCTGTAAGATGTACTTCTATCAGCATGCCTAATACGTCTATGTATTTATATGTTGTGTACACAATGTTTCACCACTGAAAACATATAAAAGAGCTCTAATTAATTGGCTCAAAGAAAAATAAAATTGCTTAAATCAAATACTTTATCAGGGAAAAAGAAAAGACTAGTCAAATGCTTTTTTAAGTTTATGTAACTTAAGTAAAATCTTTAATAAATAAGCTAGCTTTAAAATTATTGGTAAAGTAGTATTAGAAATGTCTTAAGAATTGCCAGCATACATTTTTGTTTGCATTTATTAATCAAGCAATTTCATACTTATCCCTAGCAAATACTATAAGGTGTGTGTCAAAATTGGCACAGGGGTTACAGAACTATAAACCCAGCCCAAAACAGAATTATCTTCACTTGTGTAATGTTTAATAAATAAGACATTGATATGGGTTTAATGAAGATAGCTGCATCTTGAATTTAGCAAGATTACCACAACTTCTAATACTGTGGCTTTAGGGAGTCTAGTCCACAGACAGTAAGGAGGTTTGTTTTGGAAAAGGACTGTTATCATCTTTGTTTCAAAGCTAAACTATAAACGAAGTTCCTCTCAAAGTTAGTTCCACCTGTGCCCAGGAATGAACAAGGACAGCTTGGAGGTTAAGAGCAAGATGGAGTCAGTTGGGTCAAATAGTTTTTGACTGTCTCAGTTATTATTTTGCAATGGCAGCTTCATAACTTTAAATCATGACTATCACAGTTTTCATAAATAACCTAGGTAAACAAAATAATTAGGTAAAGGTAATGATATAAATACTTGTAGATAAACTGGTCATGATTTAGAATATAAAGATATATCAAATTAAATAATTGTTATTTCATTACTTGTGTATTTTCCAACAAATATATATTGTAGGAAAACATTCTTGCTTAAAAAAAAAAAGTGTGTCCTTTGTCTAAAAAAGGTGAACAAGACCATGCATGGTGGCTCATGCAGCAATTTGGGAGTCCAAGGCATGTGGATCACCTGAGGTCAGGAGTTTGAGACCAGCCTGACCAACATGGTAAAACCTTGTCTCTACTAAAAATACAAAAATCAACTGGGCATGGTTGTGCATGCCTGTAATCCCAGCTACTTGGGAGGCTTAGGCAGGAGAATTGCTTGAACCCAGGAGGCAGAGATTGCAGTGAGCTGAGATCCTGCCATTGCACTCCAGCCTGGGCAACAAGAGTGAAATTCCATCTCAAAAAAAAATAAAAATGAACAAGCTTTGTCTAATTCAAAGCTTATTTAAAGGTTATATATAAAACAAGGTAAACAGATCTGAGAAATAAGAGAAATACAAAGAAAGTTATAGAAATAAAGAGGTTTTTTTGGTAAGAAAGCTTAAAGACAAATAATTTTATATGAGAAAGAATATTGAATGGTAAATTTAGACCTAGAATACAATGACTGGTTGTTTAAGAAAGATGGATGTTCAGGACAAACCAGAAAGTTCAAGCATGTCATGAATGGCCTTTGTAAGTCACAATAAAATGATTTATTAAAAAAAAACTTTTATATGGTCAATTGTCTATAATTAAAGTAAAACTATAATGGGCTTTCTAGAGATTGGGTATGATGTAAAAAGGAAACCACTTATACACTAAATAATTGGTTAGAACAATGAAATTTTCTTAAGGGATTTATTTACTTTAATAAATTATAAAAAATTTTAATTTTTTTAAGCCAAAGTTCAACTTTTATTGCATTTCTCCATTTTCTTCCCCCTTTTAAAGGGTATGAAATAGTAATGCTCTCCTTCAACTCATTTTCAGCTCATATATATATATTTTTTTTCCTGGACTTCTATTGTAGTGGCCTGATAATGTTTTCTTAAAGGTCTAAAGGAAATGTTTTCTTCCATCATAATATTCTGTGCACTGCTGAAGATCTTTTCTTTTGATTTTTGGTAACTGGCCTAACAGATTTACACGTTATCACAACAATTACTATGCTATTATTATAAAGCATTGGTTTGCTTAGGGAAAAAACTGAGATTAAATTAAAAAAAAAAATAAGGTTATTACATCTGTGTATCTCTCTGTATGCACTTTTAAAGGCATTGAGTTAGAGGGCTTTGACTTCTGGGTCTAAAAAGGACACCAAGTCCTGCTAAATTGTAAACACTGACAGCAATTAAAGCTCCATTTTTAGGCCCCATAGAAGATACCAATCAAAATAAACTGCATGTCAGAGACACAGGGCTAGAAGTTAAAGCTATTTCAATTCAAGGCCCAGGAACTCTCATGGAAGAGGTGGGCATGTGGGATTGTAAGGGCTGATTTTGAAAAAAAAAAAAAAATTAGTTCATATTCTCTATAAATTAATCATTAATGTTAAAGGCACACTGAAGCAAGACCAGCATATGGGCCCCCTGTGTCAAATTAACAAGGTTTTCTTGAAGCATTAACTGACTCCTTAATAAAAGTTATATGGGTTATCAAAAGCTTATGGAAGTTATATCTTACGGTCTACATTAAAATTTTATAGATTGTTTATAACATTTTGAAAAACAAATTTGGCTGGGCGTGGTGGCTTACGCCTGTAATCCCAGCTATTTGGGAGGCTAAGGCATGAGAATCTCTTGAGCCCGGGAGGCGGAGGTTGCAGTGAGCCAAGATTGTGCCACTGCACTCCAGCCTGGGCAAAAGAGCAAGACTCCATCTTTTAAAAAAAAAAAAAAAAAAAAAAAAAGGAAAGCAAATTTAATTGGCTTCATCCTGTTTTTATTAGGGCTTATTATTTGGAAAATTAACTCTCTCACAGAATGAAGGTTTTCACCTTTTTAAAAAAATCTTTGAGTTACCACTTTGGTTAAATGAATGACTTATTTTACATTGACCTGTGATCCTATTTTGTGATATCAAGTTTTAAACCTTTGATATTTCACAGGCTTTCCAAAATCAAATTATAAATTATTCTTTTTCTGACATAATTAATTCTTTAAGATATTAAGTTCCCTAAAGTCCAAAAATGACATAATTTGGCTTATTTGTTACAAAAATTACACAGGAAGCATTGTCAAATGTGAAATGGTGTTTGGTTTTCTTTGGGCTGTGTTTGTATAAATATGTTACTAGTATGTGTTCCAAAATTATGGGAAACTCCTACAATTCTAATATAACTTAGTGTATATTATCAGTAATAATTATAATTGTTATGTTAAATCACTGTGTGCCACAGAGGTAACAAATTTCCCTCTCAATTGTGTCTTTGACTATGGCTGCCCTAAAACGTTTTCTCATCCACGGACAATTGTTGTCTTGTTTTGGTCCTCTTTAGAAGGTGATTTTATAATCAGCTATAAAACTCTAACAGGTGCTCTCGAATGCAGGTTTCTGATAACTTTGGAGAATGTGCCATTAGGGTAAAGGAAAAACTTTCAGGACTCATGGAGAGCTAAAATGTTCATGAATATCAAGCAGAACAGGAATTTTTTTGACTTTTTGCTTAAGACATTGCTGATCCTTTGTTTTGTTTTTCAGAGTCTTGAAACTTTTCTTTTGAACTATTGACAACTTTTAACAATTTAGTATACCCCTATAAACAAAATTTGGAGCATATTTGTTTCTCTCTACCTGATTTCTCCAGAATTTGGAAACTACTGATGAGTATTCTTAACGGCAATACAGTTATTTGCATAAGTGCAATAAGAATCTGTTTTCATTTGTAACAGGACACAATTGGAAAAACTCATTATTTTACCAAGGCTTTGACTGGAATGGTATGCTTTCCTTTAAGGAATCAAACTTAAAGTATGGAGCCAATAAAGCCCTTGGGAAAACTGGCCCCATATTTTGTGTACACAGTTCCTATACACAGTTTTTGACCTGTGACAAGTAAAGAATGTCACTTACTGAAAGTCCCAGGAGTCCCAGGTTTATACTGGAACCTCAAAAGGAGAGGATCATCCAACTCATAGATATTTGATGGCACAAATCCATGGCAGGGCTCGGCTTTTGAAAAGTTTTATCTGAGATTCCTCCTATGGAACATAGTTCCATCAAACCCCATTTAAAAGGTTATGTAAAAAATAATTATTTTTGCTATACTGTATACAAATTAGGCCAACTATAATAAAGCAAACCAGTCCTACCATGATTTGTCTTTAGCAAAAATGGGAAGCTAGAGAGAGAAAAATTATGTTTCAAAAACTTAATTCAAAAACATAATTCAAAAATTATGTTCAAAAACACCTGTTGTTAAATTCTAGACTTGCCTAATGTTTTTCAATTTTTATATTTTCTACAGTTTGGAAAGAATTCTAATTTTTCTTGGCTACAAGTCTTCAAAATAATGTTTTCAGATTTTGTCCTTCTTTTCTCCCCATTTTTCATAATTTGGAGTCACTGAAAATTAAGCTGTGCTTTCATAACACCCTGTGAACTGAAACTAGACAACTTAAACTTCAGAAGAAAATAACAGCAACCTATTTATATACATAAGCCACTTACATACCTGCCTACTGATATATAGACTTCAGAGTAATGTGGCCTATATCAATTTTCCAGGATTGTTCTTTTGTTTATTGTTGTTTTTTTCTTCCTCCCTGTCCTCCTATTTTCTCTTCATAGGATATGAGACTTCACAACCTTCTAAAAATGAGCTTTCCTCATAACACCAGACCTACCTGGTCAGGAATAAACCATCCTAGCCATGAGATATCAGACAAAACCTGGAACCAGGAACTCATTTTCTTTTAAAATGCTTTCTCCAAAAGATTTTAAAAAAGAAAAGGGGGGAAATGTAAAAGGAAAATATGTTGGAACCCCAAAATCACTAAGCTAAAGGGAAAATTCAAGCTGGGAACTGCTTAGGGCAAACCTGCCTCCCATTCTATTCAAAGTCATCCCTCTGCTCACTGAGATAAATGCGTATCTGATTGCCTCCTTTGGAAAGGCTAATCAGAAACTCAAAAGAATGCAACTGTTGGTCTCTCACCTACCTGTGCCCTGAAGCCCCCTCCCCGCTTCAAGTTGTCCCACTTTTACTTCGAGTTGTCCTGCCTTTCCAGACCGAACCAAAGTTCATTTTACATATGTTGATTGATGTTTCTTATCTCCCTAAAATGTATAAAACCAAGTTGTGCTCTGACCACCTTGGGCACATGTCGTCAGGAACCCCTGTGGCTGTGTCACAGGTGTAGGTCCGCAACCTTCACAAAATGAACTTTCTAAATTAACTGAGACCTGTCTCAAATGTTCGGGGTTCATATAATCTAAATAATGACCAGGACTGGCTAATGGATGGGTTTTTTTTTGTTTGTTTTGTTTTGTTTTATTACACTGTAAAGCAAAAAGTATCTGAGACAAGTCTCAATCAATTTAGAAAGCTTATTTTGCCAATGTTAAAGACACACCTGTGACACAGCCTCAGGAGGTCCTGATGACATGTGCCCAAGATGGTTGGGGTACAGCTTGCTTTCATACATTTTAGGGAGACATAAGGCATCAATCAATACATGCATGATTTACATTGGTTCAATCTGGAAGGGTAAGACAACTCAAAGGGGAACAGGCTTCCAGTTCATAGGCAGATTTAAACATACTCTGATTGGCAATTGGTTGAAAGAGTTATTATCAGTAGAAAGATGTCTGGGTTACAATAAGGGGTTGTGGAGACCAAGGTTTTATCATGCAGGTGAAGCCTCCAAATAGCAGGCTTTAGAAGGAATAGACTTTAAATATTTCTTCTTAGAATTACAGTCTATGTTGATGTTAATGCTGGGGGGTATAATGAGGCATGCCAACCCCCATTCCTATCTTGGCCTGAACCAGTTTTTCAGGTTAAATTTTAGAGCGCCCTGACAGAGGAGGGCATACATTCAGATGGTTGCCAGGGCCTTCAAATTTTATTTTCGGTTTACAACTCTATATGGTCAACTGTTTTCTTTATCCCAGTTCAAAGAAGGGAAGGAGAATCTCCCATAAACAGATATCACATTTAGAGTAGCAAAAGCAGTTCTAACAGATATAGCAAAAAATATCTCCAGGCAACACTTAACTACTAGGATAAGATGTGTACTTTAGAACCTAACTCTTTTCTGAGAATCTGAATTCATTTGCCTCTAGGACACCTAACATGATGCAGCAGAATTTCTTCTAGGAATCTAAAGGGACCATATGGAGCAAGTTATATTCAAGAAAAACAGGACTGTGAGGCTTAGAGTACCAGAGAGGAGGCAACAACTGCAAGTACAAAAAGTCCCATTTGGCAAAAGAAATATGAAGAGCACAGTGTCCTGCACCAGGCTCCATTACAGCCTGGAGTAAGGCGAAGTTGTTGGGGAAATCAGACAGCAGGGAGAATGGGGCCACTGCAGCCCCTCTGACCTTCTTTCCCTGGACTTTCTCAACATACTTTCCTGCTCTGCTGTCATTGCAGCTGCAGGTACTCACTCCAGGGTGGCAGCCAGGGGCTCAGGTGGAGCTGGGCCCCACACCTCTGCACATTCCCGACCTGAAAACCACTCCAGGCTCCCAGCCTTGACTATCGGTTCCCTGAGGGTCTTGGACGCTGCCCCAGCACAGGGATGTCCCTTCTGCCTGGGAACCACCAGAGGCAAGCTCCAAGGATGTAGTTTGGCACCTTCTTACAATTAATTGGTTTTGGACGACTTGGTAATTTAGAAACTGCTGAGGTGAACCTCCAATAGAGGAAGTCTGGCATGGTTCTGTGCCTGACTGTGCCCCGATTATGCCTCAAAATGCCTCTTAAGCCCCTGATGATGGGTGTTAGTTTCCTTACAAAGGTGAACATGCTTCTCAGAAGATGCTCCTGCCACCTTCTGCATCAATAAGCGAAGTTTGGAGGACAAAGTACAGGTTACTTTTGGAACAATAGGATCCTCTCTCCCTCTGGCGTTTTGACAGATTTTCAGAAGTAGAAGGGAAAGACCTAAGACACTATCCAAACCCATGGGATCTATCACTACCTATAGGGTGTGACATGTCACACTAGCTGAGCCACCTGGCCTTAGCTGCATGTCTGCCAAACAGCCACTTGAAAGCTACCTGTTAGAAAGCAATGTGCTTGATACTAGATACTGCCTGTTAAATGTGTTACATGAATTCTAAAAAAGATAAATAAATAAATCTTATTTTTGGTAAATATTGTCAGTCTCTAAGACAGAGTATACTTTAAATCTTATACTATAATTATAAATTTGTCTATTTCTCCTTATAGTTCCACCTGTATTTGATTTATGTATATTGAAAATCTGTGGTTGGTTCCACATAAGATCTTAACTGTTACGTCTTTTTGGATAAATGTTTCTTTTATCATTACAAAATGTTTTTCTTTATCTCTTTTAGTCTTTTTAATCTGTAGTACTACCTCTGTTATTACATCTGTAGTACTACGTCTGTTATCACATCTGTTATTATTTGCTTGATATTTATTTTTTAAAATATATCTTTTATCTCACCTTTGTGCATCATTTGAAAATGGCTTAATATTTTCCTTTTTAGGCCTATTTTTAATTGTTTATAATAAACTATGAGGAAGAAAATTTTAAAGCACCAAAATGTTGGGGCACCAAGAGAAAGAACCAGTCAGAGTATTTGTTTTTCCTTTTATTTTCTAATTATCTTAACCAATGCTTTTTTCCTCAAAACGTTAAAAATGGAACTATGTTATGACCCAGCATTTCTACTCCTAGGTATGTACCCCAAGAGAACTGAAAACGTGTCCACACAGATACTTGTACACAAATGTTTATAAGAGAATTACTCATAATAGCCTAAAGTTGGAAACAAAAAAATGTCCATCAACAAATACATGGATAAACAAACTGTGGTATATACATACAGTGGAATATAATTTAGCCACTAAAAAGAATGAAGTACTGATACATCCTACGACTTGGATGAACCTCAAAAACATTGCACTAAGTGAAAGAAGCCAGACACAAAAGGTCACACGTTGAATGATTCCTTTTGTATGACATATCCAGAATAGGCAAATCATATAATAAAAACAAAAAGCAGATAAGTGGTTAACTGGGAATGAGGGGAGGGGACAATGGAGAGTGAATATTTAATGGTATGGATGCTTTGGGGAGTGAAAAAAGGTTTTGTAACTCCAAGGAAGTAGTTGTACAGCATTGCAGATATACTAAGTACCACTAAATTGTATACTTTATAATGGCTAACTACATGTTATATTAATTTCACCTCAATAATAAATAAAATCACCCTCTGCTAGTAAGATGGATTAATTTTTGCAAACTGGTAAGCAGTTCTGATTTTCTTATATTTTTGTTTGTTTGTTTGTTTAATTGAGATGGAGTCTCACTGTGTCACCCAGGCTGGAGTGCAGTGGCATGATCCCGGCTCACTGCAAACTCTGCCTCCTAGGTTCAAGCAATTCTCCCACCTCAGTCTCCCGAGTAGCTGGGATTACAGGCACACACCACCACACCCGGCTAATTTTTTTATTTTTAGTAGATGGGGTTTTGCCATGTTGGCCAGGCTGGTCTCGAACTCCTGACTTCAGGTGATCTGCCTACCTCAGCCTCCCAAAGTGCTGGGATTACAGGTTTGAGCCACCACATCCAGCCAGATCTTATTATCTTGACAGTGAAAGAGGATCTTTTCCTGCAATTTACAGCCAAACCTATGGGTATAACCAAGTGTCTGCTTCCAAGGGGGAAAGCGTTCTAACTCTTTTTATTACTTATCTGGGGGCAAAATTTATGGGCTGTAGCAACAGTCAGTTGGAATTCTAGTATGTGAGTTATACTGAGGGGCAGGCCTAATGGTTAGGCTCTTCTTTTTTAACAGCAACATTAAATAACAGTAAGAATAATTCCTGGATACAGACAGAGTTCACTTAGATATTTGGCAAAATTTGCCATGTTCTCATCTCATCTCATGATATACGTGATTTATCTTCTAGAAGGAACTACATATCTTATTGGCTGTGATATATCATGGCTCGTTTTTCCAGGCTCAGTTGATCTTAATTTTTCCCAAATGACTTTAGACATATAGTCACTACTCTTCTGTCCCAAGCACTGCTCTTGCCTGTCACAGACACCTCCAAATAAATACTGCCCGGACTTTTGAGGGGTGGAAGTTGGAGATATTTGCAAGGGCTTCTTGGTATATTAGTTCACTTTTGCTACATCCTAAACTACCCTAAAACTCAGAGGCTTAAAATAACAATGTTCTTCAACTCACAATTCTGCAGGTCAGCAATTTGGGCTAGGCTCAACCTGGCAGTTTTTCTATGGTCTTGTTCGTGCATTTGCAGTCAGCTGCAAGATATGCAGTCAGTTGGCAGTTGGCTGATCCGCTGGGCAGGCAGGGGTTGGAGGAATCCTAAGTAGCCTCACTTGGATGTCTGGCAGGTGGCCACCTGTCAGCTGGGACACTTGGTCCTTCTCCATGTGGTTTCATCTTCCACCAGGCTAGCCCAAGCTTGTTCACTTGGTGGCAGTGTCCAGAATTCACACAGTGTCACTTCTATCACATTCTTTCAGTCAGAGAGAGCCACAGGGCCAACCCAGATTCAAAGGGGTGGGAACACATCTCCCTACTCTCTTGTTTGGAGATGTATTGTGAGCATTTTTGCAATCTACTACAACTGAACTCACTATTCTTGCTATAGTAACCCACTACTTCCCACACCAATTGCTCCTGGATGCCATCCTGACTTTGATAGCCTCCAGGCATGAGGCCCACTTGGTCACTGATTCTTTGTGCTCATGCTCTTCTTTCCCTCAGCTGGTTTGGGTTACCAGTTTCTTCTTTCCTCTGATTCTACATGGATTTAGTCTCAAAAAATCCCCATAGTTTCTGATCTATTGATAATTTACTTATTTTTTTAGCATGGCCATGTATTCATGTAGAGCTAGTGTAACCATATGATTTATCATTCAAATTGTGACTTCTAAGAATGAAATGGGACACTATAAATAATCATGCTAGGACACCAAGCATAAACTGAGATGTCTCTGCTTAAAGCCCAGTGGTTATAAGCACAGGTTCTTGGACCCATATTGCTGGGGTTGGAATCTCAGCTCTGACAATTATTTGCCAGTTACTTAAACTCTTGGTGACAGTTTTCTCATCTATTAAATGTAGATAATAATAGTACTCACTTTAGAGGTTTTTTGTGAGGTTTAAATGAGATAACTTATATAAAATACGCATTATTTTTACATCATTTCTAAGGTCTCAAGTGGATGTGAGAATTACCTTCTTCATTTAATATTCTATCATATTCATGTATCACAAGATAAAGTTATTTCATAATCTTTGTATAATCAGTTTTAATGACTATATACAGTTTCATTAAAGGTTCTATAATTTACCTGAAAACTCTTCTATTAAATATTTAGATCATTTACACTTTTCCCTTATTATAAATTACGTTAAAATTTCATTGTGGATAAATACTTTGGCAATAAATTAAGTTCTTATGTTAATTCTAGAAAAAAGAATATTATATTAAAGAATATAAATATTTTAAGGATCTTGTTATATGTTGCCAAATTGCTTTCTCAAAGGATTACATTAATGCTTTCAAACAATAATCAGGAAGTTCTAACTTTAATACAACCTCATCAGCATTGAGTATCACACAACTTAATCTGCTGTACTCATTTAAAACACAATTTTAACAAACGTATTTTCTGGTTTCCCAGCCCTCACAAATTAAAAGCAAAAAATTCAAAGCAGTAAAAACTAATATTGGAAAAGGTATTTAGGCAGATTTTCTGATCACTTGGTAGTGAAAAGAAAGAAATATAAATATAAGAAATAAAATCCTAGACATCTTAGATCATTTAATGGCTAAACACATCTTCAGTCTTTAAAGTCCATGACATCATTGTTTGTTGCAGTATATAACAGTTAATGTTCATTGTAATAATACTAAATGATCCATCAACAAAAATCCAGATGACAGTAAACAAATTTTTGACAGAGCAGGAGCATCACCATCTTGGACAAGCCCCTCATTCTAAAGTTCACCTTAATAAAAAAAAAACGCCTAAATCCAAAGGGTATCAGCCTAATGGCTAAGGTCAGCATAAACCACAATAACCACAAATAACATCTCCAACCAGAAACATTCCAAACTCCTCCCCAATCAGAGACTTGCCAGCCCCGAGATAACCCCCCGCCAGCCAGGAAGATGCCAGCTCCGAGATAACCCCACTCCAAGCCAGAAAGATGTCTGCCCCAAGATAAACTCCCCTCCTCCCAGAGACATTCCAACCCCACCATAAAACTTGTCCCTCACACAGAAACATTCCAAGCTTCTAATAAGCCCCCTTACCCTAAAACCAATATGTTCTCTTAGTCTGTAAGAGAAAGTGCTCCTAACCAAAGTCAGCCAGAAGCCCCTCTCAGGTTTTATCAAAAGTAAACCTGTCTTTACTGTCAAACCACATTTCGTGTCTCTTTCCTGTTTCTTTAACTCTTACAATTTTGTTTTAGGGAGATTTCCATTAACAAGTAAAAATAAAATTTATGCTGAAAGAGGCCATCTCTGGCTGGCTGTATTTTCTTTTTAGACCTTGAATTGGTGTGAAGAGTCATAAGGGTTTGCTAAAGGAGGAGTGAGAAAGTGGGGAGGGTGTGAGCTCCATAATCAGGAATAAAAACCGGGGGTACAAGACCAGGGCAGAAAGTCATTTTAAAATTCCAGAACTTCTGACACATCTTCATATTGGTTATCATTTGTTATCTCCTTCCTATTTTCCTTGGAAGCAGAAGGGCCTGTCTACATATATTCTTGTCTTCCCAAGCAGCAAGGAAGTGGGAAGTTGAGAAAGCTATTTCCTCTCCACACTTTTTCAGGCATATTAAGAATAAGAGAACCCTGAAGGGTATAGTGGCTGGCTAGGTAATCGAAGAGAAAAAAGTAAGTCCTATTTCCTTAGCTCTGCAGCAAAGAAAGAAAGAACTTTGACATCAATCTTCATATGAAGAAAAGGTCATTAAGCTCAGTAGATTAAAAATCTGAAATGATTCTTTAACTGTATCAAACATAAAAATCACCTGGAGGGCTTGATAAAACAGAGATTGTTAATCCCTACTTCAAGAGTCTATGATTTAGTGGGTCTGAATAGAGCCTGTGAACCAAAAAGTGGCTGAGGCAGATCTCAATCGAGTTAGAGGTTTGTTTTGCCAAGGTTGAGGATGTGGCCAGGGAAAAAGAAACACAAGTTACAGTAGAATCTGCGGCCTGTACTTTTTCCAAAGAGGGTTTTGAGGACTTCAATATTTAAAGAGGAAAGAGCAGGTAGAAGAGGAAGGAGAAAAAAAAAGAGGCTGGGTGTAGGCAGTAACATGTTTACATTCTTGTGAGGCTTCTATTAGCCCTTAAAAACTACTCACTGAATCCACATTTTACATGTGAAAAGAGAGTGGTGGGGTTAAAGTCAATTATGCATTCTTCTCATGCTGCGTATATCTACATTTTACATAAGATAAAGTAAGCATAGAGTAGAGGAAGAACTCAATTATGCATTTGTTTGGGGTGGGTGGAGGAATTTCTAGTCTTATGTTTGGCCCTTACCTGTGAAAATAAGCTGTTAATTTGCATTGTCAGGGTAAGATTCAACAGCACTCTATTTTAGGGCAAGTTTATAGGAGGGATATGTATTCTGAAAGATGTGGAGTCCACGAGGAATTTCCTTGTGAGCAATTTGTGAGGGAGGACCCCTGGGAAGATATGTGACCTTCTATTTTGCAGCTATTTGGTTGGGAACAAAAAGGAAGGCAGTTTGATTGCTTTTGTGTGACTCAGTTCCCAAGCTTCACTTTCCCTTTGGCATAGTGAGTTCGGGGTCCCGAGATTTTTATTTTCCATTCACAGCCCTGAGAATTTGCATTTCTAATAAGTTGCTAGGTGATGCAGATAATGTGGGTCCAGGGACCAGATTTTGGGAACCACAGCAGGTATGGTTCCCAGTCCTGACTAATCATCAGAATCACCTGTGATGTTAAAAACAAAACAAGACAAAAAAAGAAAAACAAACAAACAAACAAAAAAACCAGATTCCCAAGAGCCTCATGCCAGAAGCCACCAATTTGAATCTTCAGAAGTGGAGCCACCGGGAACCTGTTTATTTGATAAAGCTCCCCATTAGATCCTGGCGTTCAGCAGATGCAGAGTTCCACAGCCCCAGAGTACTCAGGATTATGCTAAACATTTAGTCAGTGTCTAAGAAAGCCTTGATTGATGGGCTGATTTAGATCCGGAGGCACTTTCAGCAGTAAAATGTGAATCCTTTTGTATGCTAAGTTTTTATTTAATTTGTGATGATGATATTCTTTGGAGAAGATCTGTACTGGTCTCTTAGCTACATAAAAATGAGCACTTTTGTAAAGGAAGTTCTCACAATTCTAATAGACAAATTAAAAAACTCTAGCACAACCATGTAAATCATCAGAATATTTCCATAGCAATAGCACAAAAACTTAAAAAAAAATAAGGAGTCCCACTTTGGGAGGCCGAGGCGGGTGGATCACGAGGTCAAGAGATCGAGACCATCCCGGCTAAAACGGTGAAACCCCGTCTCTACTAAAAATACAAAAAAATTAGCCGGGCGTAGTGGCGGGCGCCTGTAGTCCCAGCTACTTGGGAGGCTGAGGCAGGAGAATGGCGTGAACCCGGGAGGCGGAGCTTGCAGTGAGCCGAGATCCCGCCACTGCACTCCAGCCTGGGCGACAGAGCGAGACTCCGTCTCAAAAAAAAAAATAAATAAATTTAAAAAAAAAAAAAAAGATAATAATAATAATAAAAAATAAGGAGTCCAAATGGAATTATCCTGAGATTCTGTCAGATTTATCCTTTAGAAATTAATAGTTGCCTTTTATCAGAATTTCCTGGCAATGTAACTAGATTGGTGGCTCATATGCTTATCAAAATTTAGTAGGTTAGATTTTCCAGGTAACATTACTTTCTTTCCTGATATTCTTCATAGGCTGGTTTTTACAACATATTTCTCCTGGTAACTAACTGTCTATTTAGCAGAGATTAAAAGCAGAACAATGTTCTTATTTTTTCAAGTATTTTATTTCATAAAAAGGAGAGTTGTCACTTCAATAATCTCTGACTAAATTAGGAGTTGGATAATATGGGTCTAAACTGTGTAATTTCATCTTTTCTTCATTTCCATAATGGTTCTAGGTCACATTTCTTACTAACAAACTTCTAAATTTTGTGCAACCTACTTAACTGAAATGAACCATTAAGCTTTGGCTTGTTACACATTTGCACAAATGAAGAAATGGCTTGTGAGCTTAACTCTAAATTGTGGTTCATTTAGAGAAGTGGTTACTGTATAATTTGTAGATTGGGTACTGAACTCAGTATTTTTGAAATTAGATAATAGAGAGCTAATAGTGACCCAAATGGAAAAACACACCTTATGTTCACTAATGAAATGTAAAATAGAATTCATCATTCTCCATGTGATGACAAAGAGCACAAAAGCAATGTGAAAATTAACTTAATTGGAAATATTGTAAAATTATTTTCAATATCATACGTTAAATTAAGGCGTTGCTTTGATTGCTAAGTAGATAATAGAAAAAGCCGAAGTGGTAAGCCTTGTTAGAATTTGTGCAAATGCTTTACAAATTGCTGATTTTCTAGTACCATCACAACATTTAATAGTGGTACATTTAATAGAAAGGCAGTTCAAGTTGAAATAGATGACAGTTAAGTAGATGTTTTGAACAAGTTGTTCAATAACTTCTCAAACTAAATTTCATCTTCTGTATCCAGAGAGCTAAAAATATATTCCCTAGGATCTAGCACTTTCCTTACACATAGTTGGTAGTCAGTAAACACTTGTCAAAAGTAAGGGAACAGATGAATACTACAAGATAATGTAGTGGAGTCTAAGCTGGTATTGCTCACTGCAGGACAGTCAATAAGTCACGAGACAAGGTGTTGGGGCAAGAGGGCAATAACTCAGTTTATCTGCTCAACCGAGAAGATGATGGACTAATGTCCTAAAGAACTGTCTTAAGGCAATGTGCATTTCCGGTCCCTTTATTGTTAAGGGAAGAGGGTAGAAGGAGATGGAGTTCAAGAGGTGACTGATGGTTATAGGCATCTGGGCAGCAGAGAGCATCTGAGAGGGAGTTGGAAAACTTCTTTGTCCTTGGTCAGGTCACAATGCTCCTATAAATCTTTAATTATATATTTCTTATTATTATTTTATTTTTTCATATACCGAGTGAAAGCTAGGATCCCATAAATCTTTAAAATAACATTGTTCCTTGTATGTACACACTCCTTACCTCCTTGGAGGTTAGTTTTGGGAAGGAACTAGCATCCTATTATCCTTGCTTTAAAGTTAAACTACAAACTAAATTCCTTCCATCATATCATTTTCTTGGCCTTCATGCAGAGATAATAAAAATTAGTTAATCTAAAAGGTACCACCTGGAGGGGGAAGGGGGGTGTTAGGAGCAAAATGGAGTTTGTTGAGCTAGGCCTCCTTTTCACTGTTACAAAGATGCTAGGAGAAAAGTTATCTCCTTGGCACTGGAGAGAAGTCTGGGTGCAAAAGAGAAACAAATTGAAAATCAGTTGTGATTCTTCTAGGATTCGTTAATTTCATCCTCCCAATCTCTTTTGCCAGTCCAATCCTCTCCCAAGAAGTCCAGATTCCAGCTCTTACTGGACGCCTCCATTTCAAATAGTGCAGCAAACAGGTTAAGAATACAGATGCTGAACCAAGACAGCTTAGGTTCAAATCTCCAAACCCCACTGACTTTAGCTGTTTGACCACAGGCAAGTTACTTTACTTCTTGATATCTCATTTGTGAAATTGAGTCAATAATAGCATATCTATCTTAAGCTGTGCTGGAAGGATTATGTGACTTAAGACATGTAAAGCATTTTAGGATAGTGCCCACATACCTGTGATAGACAGCTTCAGACATAGCTCCCAGTGGTCTCCACCTCTTGGTGATCAGCCCTTGTATAATTCCTTCCCCTAGAGTGTGGGCTGAGCCTAATGACTTGCTTCTAATACATGGAATTTGGCAAAAGTGAGGGTGTGACAGTTAATTTTTTAATGTCAACTTCATGAGGCTGAGGGATGCCCGCATAGCAGGTATAATATTATTTCTCAGTGTATCTTTGAGGATATTTCCGTAAGACATTGGCATTTGAATCAGTAGACTGAGTAAAGAAGATTGCACTCACCAATGTAAGTGGGTATCATCCAATCCATTGAGGACCCAGATAGAACAAAAAGATAGTGAAAGGACAAACTGGCCAGGTGCTGTGGTTCACACCTGTAATC
Organism: Homo sapiens; assembly: GCF_000001405.40. NCBI lineage: Eukaryota > Metazoa > Chordata > Mammalia > Primates > Hominidae > Homo > Homo sapiens. The sequence continues at coordinate 30,789,597 of NC_000012.12, forward strand.
CCAGCACTTTGGGAGGCTGAGGTGGGCAAATCACTCAAGGTCAGGAGTTCAAGACCAGCCTGATCAACATGGCGAAATCCTGTCTCTACTAAAAATACAAAAATTAGCTGGGCCTGGTGACGGGTGCCTGTAGTCCCAGCTACTCAGGAGGCTGAGACAGGAGAATCGGTTGAACCCAGGAGGTGGAGGCTGCAGTGTGCTGAGATTGCACCACTGCACTCCAGCCTGGATGACAAAGCAAGACTCCCTCTAAAAAAAAAAGGACAAATTTACTCTGTTTCAGCAAGGACATCCATTTTCTCCTGCCGTTGAACATCTTTGCTTCTGGTTCTTAGGTCTTCAAGTTTAGGGTGGAACTACACTACTGGCTTTCCTGGCCCTCCAGCTTGCAGATAGCCTCCGTATCACATGAGCTAATCCCTCATAATACATCTTGATATAGATATAGATATAGATATAGATATATACACACACACACACACACACACACACACACACACATATACATATATATCCCATTGGTTCAGTTTCTCTGGAGGACCCCAACTAATACGGATTTAACATGGCTTCTGTGATTAGGTTACTAAAGACTGTGACTTCCATCTTGCTAGCACTGTGTCTTGCCTTCTCTGATGAAGTCATGCCATGTTGTGAGCTGCTCTATGGAGAGGTCCATGTGGCAAGGAACTGAGGGAGACCTCTGGCTGACAGTTTGTGAGTAAATGAAACCTTAGTTCAACAACCTGCAAGAAAGTGAATTCTGCTGGCAACCACCCAAGGGAGCTAGGAAGACAATCCTTCCCAGTTGAGTCCTAGAACTGCAGCCCTGCAAGAGTCCCAGAGCTAGAGGACCCAGCTACTCCACAACTAGATTTCTAATCTCCAGAAACAATGAGATAATAAATGCTGCTTTACGCCACTAAGTTTCAGGATAATTTGTTATACAATACTTAAGCATTCTATAAACGTAAGCTAGTAACAGACATCTCAAATTCCACATCTCCTCCCCCACTATTCACACCTCAGTAAAGGGAAAACCACCATCCATCCAAGTTGATCAAACCAAAAGCCTAAAAAATCATTTTTAATTATCTTTTTCTCAATGCCTTCTCCCCTAAATAGACCAACTTCAATGAATATCTGAGTAAGAGTGCTTCAAGAATAGAAAGTTCAAAAGCCCTTAAGCCAAAAATAAACTTGGGTTATTTTAAGACAAAAGAGAGACATGTTATAGAACTGAACTTCGATCTACTCACCTGGCTCAGTAAAGCCAATCACTGACACTGGGATAGCAGTGAGAGAAAGTGAGGCACTGATTGCAGGGCGTCAAGCAAGCAGAATCAGGGCAGCTCAAGCTTAAGACCTGAACTCCCGGATGGCTTGCAGGCTGGGATTTTTAAAAGCAGGGGTAGATGTAACCTCCATGTATTGTTTTATGATTTTGCCTGTAGCACAGGCAAAAGCTACAGGCAAAATTGTAAATCAATGCATGGAGGTTACATGTTGGCTTAGGCCTAAAAGGGCGGGATATCGTGAAGCAGGCTTACATGTCATAGGTAGATTCAAAGACTTTCTCATTTGCAATTGGTTTAGGAGGAAAAGCTTTTTAAAAAAAAAAACTGGGATCAGCAGAAAAATGTCAAGCAGAATGATATAGTTTGGCTCTGTGTCCCCAGAGCCCCCAGGGGACTGTGACATTCTCTAAGCCCCTCTGGAAAAATTTTAGGACAAAGAATGTGGTCAGAGTTCAGTTTTCAATTTCCACTTATCTGAGGTCTACAGGCCAGCAGATCCATTCAGTGAGGGCCCTGAAAGACAACTCAGGGACATATGTTAAGATGTTATCTTTAGTTTCCATAAGGAAAGCAAACATCTCTGGAACTCTAACTTCCTTGGCTATTGCTTTAGACTACTATTACCTTTTTGTTTGACAAATTTCTTATTTACTTCTGGGGCTAGCTAGGTTCCTGGAATTTCCCTTTAAGGAACTCCAGATTTTTCTTTATTTCCATGCTTGGGGTTTTCAGGCCTCTAGAGAGGGGGCTCCTGCTCCATCTCACCCCAATGCCCTCAGTAATCTCGCCCCTTGCTTTCCTCTCTAATTCTGTTTTTATATCATTCTCCCTCTTACTAGCAGTTCTAGCCACACGGGTTTTTAGCTGTCTAGTCGTTTTTGTTTGGCACCCTACAAATAAATGCTTTTCCTTCTATTGCTGCAAAACTTCACTGTAGATATCTGGTTTTACTGTACCGGGAGAGCAGACCCAAGTTTGGTTCTATAATAGTAATGTAATTTTCATCTATTATAAGTCAAAAGATATCATATCTATTTGTAAGTCAAAAGATATTCATTTGTTTAGGGAAGAAATAGTGGACATCTTCCTCATAATTTAATTCCAATGTAGAATTTACATTAACCTAACATTTTTAATAATGTTAAAAATTCATTAAGAATCTTCTTTAGATACTAAGGCACATCTTATTCTGTCCAACAAATTCCTCTCCAACAGTCATCCCTAATTTCTTCACTTTGAACTGCCAACCACCCATTCTTTAAAAATAGTAGGATAAGAATACTATTTATGAGCTTCCTGTTTGTGAATGGCATTACATGAAAGATCTTGCAAAAATCAGAGGAGAATATTCATGACAATGAAGATGACAGTGAGAGCAGCTAATATTTATTGCTCCTTTTCCGCACCAGGCATCACACTAAGCACTTCATACATGTATCTCATTTAATCTTGACAACAATCCTATGAGCTAAGTACCCTTATGCCATTTGTACTGATGAAAGCACTAAGGCCCAGGGAGGTGAGCTAAGTGGCCCAAGGTCCCACATAGCAAAGACTTATACCACGCAGTTTTGCTCCAGAACCCATGCTCTTAATTGCCGCTATGCTGCCTCTCTAAATAATAAAAATGGGACACTTCCAAAAGGTAGGCCACTATTCTCTATCCACAGTGGTAAAGGTTAAAAAGAGAAATGAAAGATTATATTCAATTCTGTGCATTCAGTGAACATTACTGAATGCCTGATAAAGAAAAGTAGGCTTTGATGTTACATGCATAGCCCTGCTCTGACCTGCACTAGCTGCTGATCTCGGGCCAATCACCCAGCCTCTAATAAACAGGTTAATCATGCTGACCTCATAGGGTGTTGTGAGCATGGGATGAAATGTGAACCACTGGCACAGTGCCTGGCACAAATAACACAGCTTTGTACACTCTGGAAGAGTGGTGTGGCTGAAAGTAGCTTCTGGCAACCAGAAGATAAAAGGGTTAAACCAAACAGTTGTTCTAACACTACAGGTCAAAATAGCAAGTGCTCAGGAAAAAAGAATTTGTGATGAAACACATTCTGTCTATAAAATTGTGTGTAAACATTCACAGTGACCAGCTCCAAGTTGCTGCTGTCTTTCCTTACAGAGATTCCTCTGGATGACAGTCATGGGAAATGGCAAGAAAGACAGGTAGGGAAAGGGTAAGCCAAACGACTGCCCAGGAAATGCAATTACTGATGCTTTCTCCAGTATTGATTTTTGTGGGAACATCAGAGTTATCTGGGTTTTGAGGTGCTAACCCCAGGCAGCCAGAACCCGTGCTGGGGCTGGTCTCAGCTTACCAATGCTTTCCAAGCAGAGCTAACCATTCATTGCTTTATTCATGCATTGCATTCTTTTGTTCTTTCATTCAACACTTATTTATCAAGCCCCACGTCCTGTGCCTGCAGCCCTGAGTCAGCAACAGAGCAGGCCTGCAAAAGCCTCCTCTCTGTCTCAGAATAGAGTCATGGAGGGCTAAATCTAACTGGGCTTTCAATAGAAATTTATAATCTGGAAGGTGGTGCAGGCTCACTTTAAGAAGGCTCACTCAGTGCCTTCATGGTGGAATTGAGGAAACCCAGACCCAGGCAGCAACTCCCCAAGATTGCAGAGATAGTAAGCAGTGAAGTTGGTATGCAAATCCAGGTCTTCTGAAGCCACATCTGTAAGCCCCTCACTATATCACTACAACACCAGGGAGAGAGAGAGAGCCCGGGGTTTCTTTCTCTTGAAAACGACCAGTCACTGGAGCAGAGCTGTTTGCCCATGGAGATGAGTTTTATGTGAGCCAGGTTTACAAAGAGTAGAGTGTGGCTGGGCACGGTGGCTCACGCCTGTAATCCCAGCACTTTGGGAGGCCGAGGCAGGCAGATCACAAGGTCAGAAGATCAAGACCATCCTGGCTAACATGGTGAAACCCCATCTCTACTAAAAAAATACCAAAAAATTAGCCAGGCGTGGTGGTGGGTGCCTGTAGTCCCAGCTACTTGGGAGGCTGAGGCAGGAGAAAGGCTTGAACCCAGGAGGCGGAGCTTGCAGTGAGCTGAGATGGCACCACTGCGCTCCAGCCTGGGTGACAGAGCGAGACTCTGTCAAAAAAAAAAAAAAGGGTAGAGTAAGAAGAAAGAAGAGTGGAAGATTGCAGACAAATATGGCCAGCAAGCATCTCTCTCCAGCCCTCTCTGGAGCCACGCTGTGCCCCTGCTCATGACTTTCAGTTGCTTCACTATGCAATGAAAGTCAAAGCCCAGTTCCCATGCCACACACAGAGGAGTCCCTATCTCCTTTTCTGGCATCTTTTCTCACATTCCTGCCACACAGATTCTCCACTCTAGCCACATACCTTATCCTGTCCCACCCAAGGACCTTGGCTTCTACCATCCGGAAGTCTTCTGCCAACCCCAGGGCTGTCCAAATGCCTTTTCTTTTTCTTTTCTCTTTTTTTTTTTTTTTTTTTTTGGAGACAGAGTTTTGCTCTCGTTGCCCAGGCTGGAGTGCAGTGGCGCCATCTTGGCTGACTGCAACCTCCGCCTCCTGGGTTCAAGCGATTCTCCTGCCTCAGCCTCCCAAGTAGTTGGGATTACAGGTACCCACCACCACGCCCAGCTAATTTTTTGTATTTTTTTTAGCAGAGACAGGGTTTCATCGTGTTGGCCAGGCTGGCCAGGCTGGTCTGGAACTCCTGAAGTTAGGTGATCCACCCACCTCAGCCCCTCAAAGTGCTGGGATTACAGGCGTTATCCACTGCGCCCCACCCCAGATGCCTTTTCTATGAAGTATATCCCAGTTGGAAGTAATTTTTGTTTACCCTGGATTTCTGTACATTCACTGATTGTGCAAAGAGCTTGCCACAGGCGGCCTTGCAAGATAGTTCTCTACCTTCAAGCCTTACTTCCTCCGAAATGAGTTAGGTCCCATGACATTAGAGCCTTCGGGATATTTCTGTACAGTTCTAGTTCCTAGCATAGCGCCTTGTATTCTTTAGGTACCTGACAAATGGCCACCAACCCTCCACCGGAGAGGACTTTTTACCAAGCCTGCAGGAAGGGCCAGCTAGGCAGGCGTCTCCCTGCTTTGCCCAACAGTGAAAGTCACAGCACATTTCTCAATATTATTCACGTTAAAAACATCTTTTTCCTGCTAAATAGACACACTCTCCACCCTCTTTTAGTCAATCTTCCACAAAATTAGATAAGGAGAAATAACCCTTTGTTTCACATCCGCTGACTCAGATACGAGCATTATTCAACTGGGCGGGGGTGGCAGTGGATGGGAGGGGGCTGAGCAAACTACAAGTGGAGGAAGAAGAGGACAGCCTAGGAGAGGGAGGGCAGAAGAAAGGAGAGCACATTGTGCAGGGGCACAGTGTTTTGCTGCTCCTTTTTTTCTTTCTTTTCTTAATATGGTCCTGGCTCACAGCAAGGCCACTACCTGACAAGCAGATGAGTCACTTCCTATGGGCACAGCGGGGGTACAACTTGATAGCTACAAAACCAGACAACCTCTCGCCATGCGCTCACCCTGTTCCCAGACCCGGGTGGTGGTCTGGGGGGTTGGAAGGGGCGGGAAGGGCGCTGTCTTAAGAATCATCCTCACATCTCAGGGCTTCGCCCCTCGAGGGAGGTGACCCTTGGCCACCCTCTGCGCAGTTCTCCCTGAAAGGTCATGCCACGTCTTAGCACTCTGGTCCCTGCGCCCCTGCAGGCCTCGCGGATCCCCCACTTGTCTCGACGCAGGGGACGCCCACTTGTCTGACGCAGGGGACGTGGCTGAAGTCAGTCGGGCCGCCCGCTTGCTGCACGGCAGCCGTGGGACTGGCACAGGCTCCTCGGCAGCATTATGGGCAGCTGGTAGAGCGGCCACTTCTGAGAGCCGGATGGGCCTTCCGAGGTCGGGCCGTGCCCCGCTGGGCAGCGCAGAGGGGGTGTGTAGGGCACGCGACTTGGAGCCAGGTCCAGACCCATCCTGGCTCCTCTCAGGGCTCCTTCCCCTGCCCCCATTCCACCCCAGCCCTGCTGGCTGTCCCGCAGGACCCAGCGCCGCGGTAGCCTTCTCTGAACTGCGGCTCAGGCGGAGGTGTCACTCCTGCCTCCAGCCCAGGAGGGCAGGTCAGGTTATGCAACGCGTGCCGCGCGATCTCCCCCCACCTCCAACCCCCTTTTCTCCCGGGTCCACACCGCAGTTCCCACCGCTCCGGGTGTCCTCCCCAGTGCGCCGCGATTTTTGTGTCCAAGCCCCAGAGTCCCTCTGAGACCAACCCCCAGCCAGCACAGACTTCCTGCCTTCCCAGCTCGGGTGAGTAGCCCTGAAACGCCCGCCCCCGCCGCCCCGCGGCCGCAGCATCCTCTCGATGGCCGCGCCTCCGGGACGACGTGGTCCCCTCGAGTAGTACAGGAGCTGCAAGAGAGGCGCGCCGGGGCCAGCAAGCTCTAGAACAGCAGGAGCGGCCCCAGTTGGGACCCCGGGACGACGAGTGGCCGGCAACGCGGCGCCCGCATGGCCCAAGCAGTGTCCGGGAGGGGTCGGGGCCCCGGACTAGGGGCGCAGCGAGGACCGCCCGGAGGCTTTCCCTTGGGCAGCTAAGTCCGAGTCAGCTCTACTCGGATTTCCAGCTTCCAGCCCCGGCTCTGGTGGGGACCATGCCTAGGAGAGTAATCTGAGCTGGGGACTGGGCTCTCCTCCCGCCCCTCCCGGCCCGTGCGCCCCAGGCATGCGCTCCTCCCGCTGCTCCCTTGGCCCCCAGCGCACAGCTCCAAACCCGCGGGGCGAGCCGTCACCTTACTCTCTAGCCTTAGCCGGCCCCCAAATTTAATTTCTGCCCTGGCCGTCAAGCCATAAAAGTCGATTATAATCGCCGCCCCCCCCCGACCACCCCAACCCCCTGCCTTTGCTCTCGCCCCCGTTTCAGACTTCTCTTCTCTTCTTGAAGTCAAGCCCTCAAGTCGGGACTCTAGGAAGTCCGTTTTCTTCGTCCTAACCCCTTTGTATCCTCTCCCATCCCCACCCCTTTCACTCTGCCCTCTGGCTCTGATTTCTCGGCCTTTCCGTTTTTTCTCTCCAGGTAGAGACAGCTCCGGGCCGGGGGTGGAGGATGGTGCGGTGGGGAGGAGGCAAGGAAATTCCCAGCCTTCCTGCGCGAACCTGGGAGACCAGCAGGCACCTGGTCTCGTCCCGCTGGGTCCCCTCCGCACCCAAGACTGTCTTCCCAAGTGGCTTACTCCACAGAAGGAATGTCGTCAGCTGATTATATCTGATTAGCATCCAGTTCCGACGACTCATCCCTTAAAACGTATGCTGCCTGCATCCTCTTCTCTCTGGACCCTCCAGGACGATACCAAGTCGGGCACGCGTTTCCCCTCTTCTAGGTTCCTGCCAGCCTCATGGCCAGTCCGGGGCTTCGAGCCTCCTCTTCCCTAGTTCATCCTACATGCTCCGGCCACATTTGCCTTTGGTAAACTGCACTTTTTTTTTTTTTTTTTTTTGAGATGGAGTTTTGCTCTCATTGCCCAGGCTAGAGTGCAGAGGTGCAATCTCGGCTCACTGCAACCTCCGCCTTCCGGTTTCAAGCAATTCTCCTGCCTCAGGCTCCCAAGTCGCTGGCATTACAGGCGCCCGCCACTAAGCCCAGCTAATTTTTTTGTATTTTTAGTAGAGACGGGGTTTCACCATGTTGGTCAGGCTGGTCTCGAACTGCTGACCTTGTGATCCACCCGCCTCAGCCTCCCAAAGTGCTGGGATTACAGGCGTGAGCCACCGCGCCCGGCCCGGTAAACTTTTTATCCTCTTCCTCCTGAACCCATCATCATCTTCATTTCCTTGTCTGTTAAAGTCTGCCTCTGCCTGGCATTAACACCATGGAATCTAGACTCACATGGCCTTTCCCTTGCATATTCCACCGGCCGGGAGAGGATCTCCCAGATCTGGGGCAATGGGGCTTCTCACTGTCCAAAACGCTCAAGGCCTTTGCCCCCTGCTGGCATTAATGAAATTAATGGGCTTTTTCTTCCTAATTAGTTCACGTATCTGTGAATATTGCTTATTCCTATGAGACAATACTCAGCATTTTAACATATTTTAGATGTAAGCCTTAAAGTACCTTGTTTCCATAAATAATTATGACATTAATTTTTTATCACTATGTTACTCAATTCTTTGAACCCTTTCTAAGTTATATGCCAAAAATCACATAGCCATCCGTCACTAATTTTTTTTTTTTTTTTTAGGGATGTGGTCTCATTAGGTTGCCCAAGCTGGACTTGTACTCTTGGCCTCAAGAGGTCCTTCCATCTCAGTCTCCCAAGTAGCTGGGACTACAAGCATGCACCACTACACTCAGCCAAATACTTTCAATAATTTGCCAGCTGACAACTTGATTGGGTTCTCCTTCAGGTTTGGTAAGGCAATATTTGGAACTCACCTGATTTACTATATATTACACACACACAAATGCACATATATATCGATATATAGATACATATGGTTACCCAGTGGTCAGAGTCCCCATCAGACACCAGTATTTGGGATTATTCTTTTGTCTGGTGCCTAGGGTTTTTTTTCATACCCCAGTGTTGGTGAGAGGCCTACCTTTCTTCTGAAAGTGGGAGGACAACTATGAAAAAAGCATGGGAAAGGGGATGAGCCTCCACCCACACCTGACACCTTAACAGCTGTACCTTTACAGGCAGGTCAGTTTCTGGAATAGGACATAAAATGTTGAGATTCTGAAGATTCATTCTCTTCAAGCCAGCCTCCGCAAATTTTTTCTGTAAAGTGTCAGATAGTAAATATTTCAGGCTTTGCCAGCCATATGGTCCTATCCCAACTCTTTAACTCCAACCTTGTAGCAGCCATAGACAATATGTAAACAAAAGATTATGGCTATGCTCCAATAAAACTTTAATTATGGACACTTATATTTGAATTTCATGTGTCCCCAAATATTACTTCCCTTTTGATTTTTCCCCCAACCATTAAAAAATGTAAAAACCATCTTAGCTCCCTGGGGGGTACAGAAACAGGCAGCAGCTTTCGTCCATAAGCCCTAGTGTGCTGACCTCTACCAAAGTATTCGTGTCAGCATGCCCCATGGAAAGTCTTCAGGTAACCTCAGGGAATGTGTACTCTCATTTGAAATTACTATCCTGGTTCTCAACTCTGGCTACATATTAGGATCTCACGGGGTGCTTTAAAAACTACCATTGCTGGCCAGGCGTGGTGGCTCATGCCTGTAATCCCAGCACTTTGGGAGGCCAAGGTGGGTGGATCACCTGAGGTCAGGAGTTCGAGACCAGCCCAGTCAACATGGTGAAATCCCATCTCTATTAAAAACACAAAAAATTAGCCAGGCGTGGTGGCAGGCACCTGTAGTCCCAGCTACTCGGGAGACTGAGGCAGGAGAATCACTTGAACCCAGGAGGCAGAGGCTGCAGTGAGCTGAGATCATGCCACTGCACTCCAGCCTGGGTGGCAAGTAAAACACCGTCTGAAAAAAAAAAAAAGTACCAATGCCAAAATGCTCAACCCCACTCTTTCATACTGATTCAGTTGGTCTGGAGTGGGATCTGGGCATAAGGTAGTTTTAAAAGTTTCCCAGGTGATTCTAATATGCACCCTGACCTTGGTCCAGTGTCCTAATTGCTGTAGGCTTTGCACACCTCTCAGGGCACAATGCTGCTTTGTGTTGTAGTTACTGTATTTCATCCAGTCGAAGGTGTCATGATTGTAAGATGAAGTCCCATTTTAGAAATCTTAAAATGTAAAAAATATAGGTGTCTTGGGTGAAATGTAATTTTGCCTTGTCTACAAGATTGATCCCCCCTGATGGCAAGGAGCCTGGCTTCCTCCCTCCTGTGTTGCTTTCTCACCATTCACACTTAGCTGAATGTGAGGTGTTCAGTGAATGCTTGCTGAATGCTTATCAACTTTGGGTTGCTTTGTTTATTGCATGTGCTCTGGATTCTTACTTTTCTCTTCACTTCTCTTCCCTGACAGAAGCGCCCTCGAGAAGTGTCTAAAGGAGACAGTTGATAGCCAAACAACAGTTTTGGATTCACTGACTGATTATGAAAGAAGCAGTAGACTGGTATCAAGAATCAGTCAGGTAGGAAATGGAGCACTTGGTGGTGTCTTTGGCTATGGGAAAAAGGAAATGCCCACTGATCCCATTCCTGGAAAATGGGAGAGGAGACAGAATACCCTTCACAATGAGGAAAATGGGATTAGGAATTAGTCTCTGATTGACTGATATTTGTGTCTCCATTATCTGAAATCATGCCGTTTGTTTGAATTGTTTTTTCCAATATGTGCGCTGCTGGTGTTAAGTCTGAATGAAGGAAGGGACTGGGAGTCATTTCCTAACATTGCTATGGTTTGAATGTGTCCCCTAAATTTCATGTCTTGGAAACTTAATCCCCAAATTCAAATGTTGATTGGAAGTGGAACCTTTAGGACATAATTAGGATTAGATAAGGTCATCAGTGTGGGCCCCCACCCCCATGATGGAACTGGTGGCTTTATAAGAAGAGGAAGATAAGAAGGGAAAGAAAGACCTGAGCTGACATGCACATGCTTGACCACTTGTCATGTGATGCCCTTTGCCATGTTGTGACACAGCAAGGAGGCCCTCACCAGACGCCAGTGCCATGTTCTTGGACTTCTCAGCCTCCATATTCATGAACTAAGTAAGTTTTTTTTTCTTTATAAATTATCCAGCATATAGTATTCTGTTAGGTAACAGAAGACAGACTAAGACAACCATACTCCCAGTGCCTAGATTAATACATACACTGTAGATGATTAATACATATGGTTCATATGGTTGTTTGTTTGTTTGGTTGGTTTTTGAGACAGACTCTTGCTCTGTCACCCAGGCTATAGTTAGTTCAGTGGCACAATCTCAGCTCACTGCAACCTCTGCTTCTCCAGTTCAAGTTATTTTCATGCCTCAACCATCTGAGTAGCTGGGATTACAAGTGTGCCCCACCACACCCAGCTAATTTTTGTATTTTTAGTAAAGACATGGTTTTGCCATGTTAGTCAGGCTTGTCTCAAACTCCTGGCCTCCAGTGATCCACCTGCCTCGGCCTCCCACATTGCTGGGATTACAGGTGTGAGCCATTTGCCTGGCCATAAATATGATTTGAATAAACTATTGAATAAATGTGTCAACTGAGATTTACTAAATCTCAAGCGGGGTTTCTGCGTGTGGAAAACTTTTTCACAGTAATGTGTTTTGATTTTTAGTCCCTTAAATTGAGTTGCAAAATCTAAATCCTAGTTTTTCTCAAGCTTTTAAATTCAACTTAACAAAGCTCATAAGTCCATTCATTACTCTGATAATATTTGTAGAAAATAAAAACAATCACTTTTGCTTGTTCTTTGATTCATGTGTTAACTCATAAATGTAACAGGCCAAATCCTTCTTAAATATTTAATACTACTTAGAACTTGATTAATTAAATTTCCTTAGACATCTCAAATCACATTGAAATTTTCTGTGCCTGCTTCTCTTAAACATTTCAAATGCCAACGACTAGACCTATAAATTTAACATGAAAATTATTTATAAGCCTTTAAACAATACCTCAAAAATATATACCTGAAAAATACAATGAATCAAACTGAACAAACTGCAATAGGTTATTAAAGTAACAGTCCCCAATTTGTTCACATCTTCTTGAGTAATCCTCTCCAACACTGATTCTGAGTTTTTCATTAGAATTGTTTTGGCCAATGGGACAATAGCAAATGTGACATACTGGGGCTTGTTCTCCCTTGCAGGTTTTTGGAATCCTTAGGCTTCCACGTGTGGAAAGCCTGAGCTAACCTACTGGAGGATGAGCCATCACCTGGAGCAGATTCAGGCCATCCTAGTTGAAGCCTCCCTAGGCCAAGCAACCGTCCAACTACCAGACATTGACCATTCAGCCTTGAACATTCAGCACAAAGACAAAACAGACCAGACCAGAAGAGTCCCACAGAATAGGGGAAACTATTCAGAGAAAACTTAAGCCACTAAGTTTTATGGTGTTTTGTTCTGTAGCAGAAGCATAGGCATACTGACAATACAAACCGAAATCCTTCTAACGTAGTGGACCTTTTCAGGCCAGCATTTTTTCCTTGAAAACCTGGAGCATGTATCCATCTTATAGCAGAGATCACTTTCACAATGTTTGGGCTCTTGATTTGAATTGATGATGTAATGAGCCCTCTATCCAGATTGTAACTAATTACTCTGCGAATTGACTGGATTCCACACCCTTCTAATATTTTACTTTTCCTCTTTTATCAACTCTCATTCTTGCTGCCATGATCAATGGACCAACTATGCTTATAACCACAAATTTTGATATGCTTAAACAAATGAACAAATATATTTAATAATTTCTTTTTTTTTTTTGAAATAGTATCTTGCTCTGTCACCCAGGCTGCAGTGCAGCAGCGTGATCTCAGCTCACTATAACCTCCACCTCCCGGGTTCAAGTGATTCTCCTGCCTCAGCCTCCCAAGTAGCTGGGACTACAGGCGCCCACCACCATACCTGGCTAATTTTTTGTATTTTTAGTAGAGACAGGGTTTATCCATGTTGGCCAGGCTGGTCTCAAACTCCTGACCTCAAGTGATCCTCCTGCCTCGGCCTCCCAAAGTGCTGGGATTACAGGTGTGAGCCACCATGCCCAGCCAATAATTTCCTGATATAATAAAAATGCCAATACTATACAATTAAATAGTAAAGTGATAAAAAATAGGATAACATGATAACCACTAATTAATATATACTACATAATCATCCTTTTCGTGAGTTGAAATGTTCTTTTAGCACACTTTATGGTTTATCCTTTCTGGAATACTATTATATGATCATGATTTTTCTCACACTTGTTCCAGTGAAATATACTTTTAGGTGTTTCCTTTGTATTGTTCAAACTGTAATATCTCCAGTGGAAGATTTTTTAAGCTTGTTCTTGTCTTGTCAGTGTCACCCACATAGTCATAGTCTGAAAGCATTTTGCTTTCTGGAAATAAGATATTATAGGCACCAAGTTATGGAATTATCTACTTTTCACCAAGCCTTCATTCTTTCAGTGCTGTATTAGAGACCTCATTTAGGGTTCTAAGGGTGCATATCAAATTGTTCCATGAGTCTAAAATGGATAATTCTTCTGTGGGCCATTTTTAGTGCTAGAGCTAGAAAAGTTATACTTTTAAAAGGTAAATAGCTCACAATGATTTTGCAATATAATTCCCACTTTACCCAATTATTAACTGCTGTTTGAATATAAAAATATTTTTAAACTTTTTTATTTACAACATATCTATTTAAATTCAATACAGCATTCCCAAATAAATATAGCAGAAGTGGGAGTTTCAAGTTACTAAACATGTCAGTCACAATTTATGGAGCCGATTGAAAGATGGAGAAATATTACTGTATTAGTTTCTTCTCACATTGCTATAAAGAAATATCTAAGACTGGGTAATTTAAGAAGGAAAGAGGTTTAATTGGATCATGGTTCCACAGGCCATACAGAAAGCATGATGCTGGCATTTTCTCAGCTTCTGGGGAGGCCTCAGGAAATTTACAATCATGGATGGGAAGGGGAGCAAGCACTTCACATGGCCAGAGCAGAAGGAAGAGAGAGAGGCGGAGGTGCCTCACACTTTAAAACAACCAGATCTCATGAGAACTCTATCTCTATCATGAGAACAGCACCAAAAGGGGAAATCTGCCCCCATGATCCAATCATCTCCCACCAGGCCCCACCTCCAACACTGGGGATTGTAATTGAACATGAGATTTGGGTGGGGACACAGATACAAACCATATCATTCCACTCCTGGCCCCACTCAAATCTCAAGTCCTTCTCACATTGAGAAATACAATCATGCCTTCCCAACAGTTGCTCAAAGTGTTAACTCATTCCAACATTAACTCAAAAGTCCAAAGTCTCATCTAAGACAAGACTAGTCTCTTCCATCCATAAGTCTGTAAAATCAAAAAAAAGTAAGTTACTTCCAAGATACAATGGGGATATAGGCATTTGGTAAATATTCCAACTCCAAAAGGGAGAAATCAACTAAAAGAAAGGGGCTACAGGCCCCATAAAAGTCTGAAATCCAGCAGGGCAGTCATTAAATCTTAAAGCTTCAAAATAATCTTTGACATTATGTCCCACATCCAGGGCACACTTGTGCAAGGGGTGGGCTCCCAAATCCTTGGGCAACTCTGCCCCTGTGGCTTTCCAGGGGTCAGCCCCCATGGCTGCTCTTAAGGGCTGGCATTGAGTGCTTGCAATTTTTCCAGGCACATGGTGGCAAGCTGTCAGTGGCTCTGCCATTCCAGGGTCTGGAAGATGGTGGCCTTCTTCTCAACTGCCTATCTATTAGGCAGTTCCCCAGTGGGTACTCTATGTGGGGGCTCCAACCCCACATTTCCCCTCTGCATTGCCCTAGTAGAGGTTCTCCATGAGGGCTCCACCCCTGCAGCAGGCTTTTACCTGGACATCCAAGTGTTTCCATACATCCTCTGAAATCTAGATGGAGGCTCCCAAGCCTCAATTCTTGTACTCTGTGCACCTTCAGGCTTAACACCACATGGAAGCTGCCAAAGCTTATGGCTCACACCCTCTGAAGCAGTAGCCGGAGCTGTACCTGGGCCCCTTTTAGCCATGGCATTCTCAAAGAATGTTGAGAGAGATGGCTGGAGGTGGAGTGGCTGGGATGCAGGGAGCAGTGTTCTAAGGCTACATAAGGCAGCAGGGCCCTGGGCCCAGCCAAGGAAACTATTCTTCCCTCCTAGGACTCTGGACCCGTGATGGGAGAGGCTGCTGCAAAGGTCTCTGAAATGCCTTGGAACCCTTTTCTCCATCGTCTTGTCTATCAATATTTGCCTTCCTTTTAGTTATGCAAATTTATGCAGCCTTCTTGAATTCCTCCCCAGAAAATAGGCTTCTCTTTTCTACCACATGGCTGGGCTGCAAATTTTCCAAACTTGTACTCTCTGCTTCCCTTTTAAATATAAGTTCCAGTTTCAGATCTTTTCTTTGCTCACACATATGAGTATATGTTGTTAGAAGAAGCAGCCAGACCACATCTTGAACATTTCGCTGCTTAGAAATTCCTTCTACCAGATACCCTAAATCATCTCTCTCAAATTTAAAGTTCCACAGATCCCTAGAGCAAGGGCACAATGCAGTCAGTTTCTTTACTAAATCATAGCAAAAATGACCTGTGCTCCAGTTCCCAATAAGATCCTCATCTCCATCTGATACCTCCTCAGCCTGGACTTCATTATCAGCATTTTGGTCACAATAATTTGACAAGTCTCTAGGAAGTTCTAAACTTTCCCTCATCTTCCTGTCTTTTTCTGAGCCTCCACATTCTTCCAACTTCTGCCAGTTACCCAATTCCAAAGATGCTTCCACATTTTCAGGTATCATTATAGCAACGCCCCACTCGTCAGTACCAATTTTCTGTATTAGTCTGTTCTCACATTGCTACAAATACCTGAGACTAGGTAAATTTATAAAGAAAAGAGGTTCTGCAGGTTGTATAGGAAGCATAATGGCTTCTGCTTCTAGGAAGGCCTCAGGAAACTTACAGTCATGGTGGAAGGCAAAGGAGAAGCAAGGATTTCACATGGCTGGAGCAATTACCCAAAGGGAGAATGCCACCAAATTCTACAAGTGATTAGCTTTTATTTCTAGGAGGCAAAAAACAGGTGGCTTATGCCTGTAATCTCAGCACTTTGGGAGGCCAAGGTGGGCAGATCAAAAGGTTAGGAGATTGAGATTTATGGAGCTTTTTTTGCCTAAACCACTTACCTTCTTAGCATAGGGACTTTTAAAAATTCTGATTATCAGAATATGGCTGAGAGATGTCAGAACCATTTTTCTCAAATATGAATTCTTAGCAGGAATAGAAATTGCAATTTTTTAATTTTTAATTTTAAGAGGAATTAGTGCCAGAGAGAACTATTAAGAAAGGGGTATATCCAGTCTAAGGATTATTAGGCTCAAGTCCATGAATAGGCTCTGGGAAGTTTGTAAACACTTGGAAATTATTTGCAAAATGTGTGTGTGAATGTGCTTTACCTTAGAGAGTTCATGAATTTCATTAGATTGTTGAAAGAGTTTTAGTATTAACAAAGGAAAAACAAACCACCACCATCACATAACAAAACCACAACAGTGATTTAATCTTTTCACCTAACAATAAGTAAATTGAGGCTCTGATGGCTAAATTAATAGCCTGAGGCTACACAGTCAGTGGCAGAGCCCAGGGTAAAGAGAGAACCAGCACAGCCATTGTGGGAGCCGAGGGTAAAGAGAGAGCTAGGTGTTGTACTTAGTAAATAAATCAGAAATTCCTAACTCTTAGGCTGGAGTTCTTCCTGTTATGTGAAGCCAAAGTAGGGAATCATTAGGTCCAAGAATAGGAATTACATTTATATTTTAATGAAAAGGTGCAGTAAAATTTAAAGGAAGAGAGAGGGTTGCAGATGACAGAATACAAAGAATGTTGAGAGAGATGAAGCAAGATGAGTCCATAGAATCAGAGGCTTAGAAGTAATTCCTATTTATGAAAGGGAGTGAGAACAATGTGGTGAGGTGTATAGAGCTATGTGAAAGTGCTTGTCAATAACATGGCTGCAGAATGCTGATGGTGGTAATTGAAAAGGAAGTAAAATATAAAAACATTTGCAGAATATTTCTTTTTTTTTTTCTCTTTTTCTTTTCTTTCTTTTTTTTTTTTTTTTGAGGCAGAGTCTCGCTCTGTCGCCCAGGCTGGAGTGCAATGGCGCTATCGTGGCTCATTGCAAGCTCCACCTCCCAGGTTCACGCCATTCTCCTGCCTCAGCCTCCTGAGTAGCTGGAATACAGGCACCCGCCACCACGCCCGGCTAATTTTTTGTATTTTTAGTAGAGACGGGGTTTCACCGTGTTAGCCAGGATGGTCTCGATCTGCTGACCTTGTGATCCGTCCGCCTCGGCCTCCCAAAGTGCTGGGATTTACAAGCGTGAGCCACCGCGCCCAGCCCAGAATATTTCTTAATCAAAATTTCACCAGGGGTTCCAAAATGGCAGCATAGAATCAAGCTTCTTCCACAGAAAACCAAAAACAAATATATAGCGCTGAGATTATTACCAGCAATATGTCAAACTTGAATATGAAGATGAGACAGTTCCTGGGGCCACAGAGAAGTGAAAAACTTTGAGAAGATGGTAAGAGAATCAGACTTTCGTGTCCACAATGCCTTTCCTCCCAGTCTGCTCAGCACCAAGTGTACGGAAAATTTCTCCCTGACTTATAGTTTCCACACTGGAAAAACCGAGGTTGAGGTGGACAACCAGCTTCCCCAGCATCTTGGGTTCTCTGGCAGGAGACCCATCCCTGCCTCAACCCAAGGGAAGCATCAGGAGTACCTTGAAAGGAAAACTATTCCTGAGGGCAGCCAGAGACAAAGGAGGGAAGTGAGACTGCCATCCTCAGCCCTGGAACCTCTGTAACTCAGCGAAATGAGGCACAAATCAGAGTAGCTCTTCAGCAGCACCATGCTGTAGGAGGTTCATTCAACAGGTTCGTGCTCTGGGCAGAACACCCTAGGCAGCCTTCCTGCACTACTGCGATATTTCATTTGGCATCTCCCCATTTGGGCTGGGAAGCACTCTGATCATTTACTAGAACTGTAGCAAACCTGGGCTTAAAGTGCCATCTAGTGACAAAAAGAAGGCAGTGACCTAGCAAGGAAAAAAAAGAAGTCAACAGATAAATTACAATCTGTAAGCAAACATATCCAATAAAAACCAAAACAAGCCACACCAAGAAGACTGGAATAAAGAGCTAATCCTTAAATGAAAGACATAGATGTACATCCACAAGAAACAACAGCAATCAGGGAACCATGACTTTTTCAAACAACCAAACAAGGAACCAGTGACTGATCTTAATAAGATGGCAGGCAATATGTGAACTCTCTAAGAATTTAAAATAATAGTTTTTTTTTTGTTTTTTTTTTAGGCAGAGCCTTAATCTGTCACCCAGTCTGGAGTGCAGTGGCGCAATCTTGACTCACTGCAACCCCCATCTCTCAGGTTCAAGTGATTCTTGTGCCTCAGCCTCCCAAGTAGCTGAGATTACACGCATGCACCACCACACCTGGTTAATTTTTGTATTTTTAGTAGAGATGGGGTTTCACCATCTCGCCCAGGTTCATCTCAAACTCCTGGCCTCAAGTGATCTTCCCACCTCAGACTCCCAATATGCTGGAATTATTGGCATGAGCCACCATGCCCGGCTCAAAATAATAGTTTTGAGAAAACGCAGTGACCTCCAAGATAACACAGAAAACAAATTTAGAAATTTATCAGAGAAATTTAACAAAGAGATTGAAATAATTTTTTAAAAATCAAACAGAAATCTTGGAATTGAGCAATACATTTGCTGGACTAAAAAATTAATTACAGGCCCTCAACAGCAAAATGCATTGAACAGAGGAAAGAGTCAGTGAGCTTAAAGAGAAGCTATTTAAATATTCACAGTTAGAGGACAAAGAAGAAAAAAGAAAAGAAACAGATCACCTACAAGATACAGAAAATTACCTGAAAAGACAAAATTAAACATCATTGGTATTGAAGAGAGAGTTGAGGAAGGGCGAAGTGTAGAAACCTTATTCAAAGAAATAATAGAAAACTTTCCAAAACATGAGAAAAAGATAAATATTCAGGTACAGGGAAGTAAAAGAACACCAAATATTTTTTACCCAAATAAGACTAACCTAAGGTTATATAATCTTCAAACTCTCAAAGGTCAATGACAAACAGAGGATCCTTTCTCTCTTTTAAGAGAGGATCCTAACAGCAGCAAGAGAAAAGAAACAAATAACATACAAAGGAGCTCTAATTCATCTGGCAAGAGACTTCTCAACAGAAACTGTATAGGCCAAAAAAGAGTGAGATGACACTTTCAATGTGCTGAGTGAAAAAAAGCAGACATCCAAGAATATTTTATCCAGCAAAGTTATCTTTCAGATATGAAGGAAAGATAAAGTCTTTTCCAGACAAACAAAAGCTGAGAGAATTCACCACCACCAGACTCATCTTACAAGAAATGCTAAAGGTAATTACTTATTCTGAAAGGAAAAAACATTAATGTAAATAAAGAAAACATTTGAAGATACAAAACCCATTGGTAAAATCAAGTATACGGACAAACCCAGAGTAGTCTAATACCATAACTGTGTATTTATATACTTATAAATACTTATAACCCTAGTATGAATCCAAAAGACAAACCTATTAAAAACAATAATACCTACAGCAACTTGATAAGAGACAGGCAATATAAAATAAGTAAATTGAGGCAATATAAAGTCAAAATGTGTGTTGCAGGAGTGGAGTTAAAGTGTAGAGGGTTTTTTTCCTTGTTTGCTCCTATTTTTTGTGTGACCTAAGATAAGTTGTTATCTCTTTAAATTCACATGTTACACCTATGAGATGTTTTTTGTAAGCCTGATGGTAACCACAGTACAAAAACCAACAACAGATTCACTAAAAATAACAAGTGATCAATTAAAACATACTACCAGAGAAAATAACTACAAAGAAAGACAGTAAGAAAAGGAAGAAAGAGAGGAGTTACAAAACAATCAGAAAATAAGGAAGAAAATGGCACTAATAAGTCCTACCTTTTCAGTAACAACACTGAATGTAAATGGACTCAATTCTATAATTAAAAGGCATAGAGTGGCTGAACAAATAAAGAAATAAGACCCAACTATATGCCGCCTATAAGAAACCCACTTCACCTATAGAGACACAAATCAAAGATTGCAAAGAGACAAAGAAGGTCACTACATAATGACAAAGGGGTCCATTTAGCAAGAGGATATAATAATTAGAAATATCTGTGCACTCAACACTGGAGCTTCCAAGTATATAAAACGAACATTACTATCTCTGAAGGTAGAGATAGACTACAATACAATAATAGTAGCACATTCGCCACAACCGTAGAGCAAAGAAAAAAATTTTCATCTCATGACAAGATGAGAAAACTCATTTCAATATATTCAGAAAATCTTTTTTTTTTTGAGACAGTCTCACTCTGTTGCCCAAGCTGGAGTTCAGTGGCACAATCTCGGCTCACTGCAATCTCCACCTCCCAGGTTCAAGCAATTCTCCTCCCTCAGCCTTCTGAGTAGCTGGAATTACAGGCATCCATCACCATACCTGGCTAATTTTTGTATTTTTAGTAGAGACAGGGTTTCACCATGTTGGCCAGGCTGGTCTCGAACTTCTGACCTCAGGTGATCTGCCTGCCTCAGCCTCCCAAAGTACTAGGATTACAAGTGAGCCACTGCACCTGGCCCAGAAAACATATTTGATAAAACAAAAATTTTAAAAATTTTAAAACCCATCAGGTTTATTCATAGGATTCTAAATTTTATATGAAAAAGCAAAGGACTTAAAATATCCAAGACAACCTTGGAAAGGGATAATAAAGGTGGGGCACTTACACTACTGGACTTAAGACTTATTCTGAAGTTACAGAAATCAAAACTTTACTGGAGGTACTGGGATAAAGATAAACAAGTAAGTCAATGGAATAAATAGAGAACTCCCAAACAGATGCATACCATGGCCATTTGGTTCTTGACAAGGTGCCAATGGGAAAAGAAAATTCTTTAAGAAATAGTTCTGGAACAACTAGGTATCTCTCTACAGAAATAAATGAATCTCTACCCTTGCCTCACACCATACACAAAAATTAATTCAAGTGGAGCATAGACCTAAACATAAAAGTTATAATTATAAAGTCTCCAGATGAAAACAAAAGAATATCTTTGTGAATTGGACATAGGTAAAAGTTTGTTAGGATATAAAAAGCAATAAATGATAAATGAAACCTCATAAAAATAAAAAAAAATTCTGTTCTTCAAACACACTATTAAGAAAAAAGACAAGACATAGGGAAATATTTTGCAAGACATATATCTGACAAATAACTGATAAACAGAATATATTTTAAAAAAACTCCTGACCAGGTGGGGTGGCTTACACCTGTAATCCTGGAACTTTGGGAGGCCAAAGCAGGCAGATCGCTTGAGCCCAGGAGTTCAAGGCCAGCCTGAGCAACATAGTGAGACCCCGTCTCAAAAATAAATAAATAAATAAATAAATAAATAAATAAATAAATAAATCTCCTTAACTCAATAACAAAAAGACAACCCAACTTTTAAAAATAGGCAAAACATTTCAATAGACATTTTACAAATTAATATATATGAATGACCAACAAGAACATTAAAAAGTACTTAACATCATTAATTGTTAGAAAAATACAAATTAAAACCACAATGAAAAACCACTACACACCTACCAGAATGACTAAAAATAAAAACACTGAAACACAAAATGTTGGCCAGGATTTGCAACAACCTGAACTTTCATGCACTGTTGGTGGGAATGTTAAATTGTATAGTTACTTTGAAAAGATCTACCTGTTTCTTAGGAAACTGAATATACATATACCCTGTAACCAAGCTATTACATTTTTAGGTATTTGCCCAAGAGAAATAAAAAAAAATAGTCCACAAAAAGACTTGTACAAAAATGTCTGTAGAAGCTCTATTTATAATAGCCCTGAACTGAAAACAATCCAGGTGTACATCGGTAGGAAAAACTGTGGCAAATTTATAAAGTAGTACAAACTAATGTTAGATAAAATAGCATGAATAAATCTTGAAAATGCTATTTTGGTGAAAGAAGTATAACACAAAAGAGACATACTTTATGATTCCAATTTATGAAGTTAGATCCTTGTAAAACAGGCAGAACTAATCTATGATCTTGTATTAGTCAGGGTTTTCCAGAGGGACAGAACTAATAGGGTGTGTGTGTGTGAGTTTATTAGGGAGAATTGGCTCACACAATTACAAAGCAAAGTCCCATGATAGGCTATCGGCAAGCTGGGGAAGAGAGAAGCTGGTAGTGGTTCAGTCCAAGTCCGAAAGCCTCAAACTGGAGAGGCTGACGGTGCAGTCTTCAGTCTGTGGGCAAAGGACTGAAAGACCCTGGAAAACCAATGGTGCGAGTTCCAGAGTCCAAAAGCCAAAGAACCTGGAGTTTGATGTCCAAGGGCAGGAGGAGCAGAAGAAGGCATCCAGCACGGGAGAAAGAAGGCAGCCAGAAGACTCAGCAAGCCAGCTTATCCCACCTTCTTCTGCCTGCTTTGTTCTAGCCACACTGGCAGCCGATTGGATGGTGTCCACCCACATTGAGGGTGGATCTTCCTCTCCCAGTCCACTGACTCAAATGTCAATCTCCTCTAGCAACACGCTCACAGACACATCCAGAAACAATGCTTACCAGCTATCTTGGCATCCTTCAATCCAATCAACTTGACAACTAATATTAACCATCACAGATGACAAAAAGAAAATCAGACAGTAGATGCATCTAGAGGATAAAGGATTCAGGATTGACTAGGAAGGGTTATTTGTGGAGTTGCTAGACAAAATACAAGATGCCCAGTTAAACTTGAATTTCAGATAAACAATGAGTATTTTTTTTTTTTTGAGAAAAGGTCTCACTCTGGAATGCAGTGGTGTGATCATAGCTCACTGCAGCCTCAAACTCCTGGGGTCCTGTGATCCTCCCACCTCAAGCACCCAAGTAGCTAGGACTACAAGTGTGCACCACCACAACTGGCTAATATTTCTTTTTCTTTTTTTGTAGAGACTGAGCCTTGCTATATTGCCCAGGCTGGTCTCGAACCTCTGACCACAAGCAATCCTCCTGCCATGGCCTCCCGAAGTGCTGAGATTACAGGTGTGAGCCATCATGCCCAGCTCGGCAACAAATGATTTTTTTAGGACAAGAATTTCTCATGCAGCAGTGGGGGCATACTTAAACACACACACACACACACACACACACACACACACACACACAAACACACAAAGCCATTATTTATCTGAAATTCAAATGTAACTGGGCACCTTATTATTATTTTTCCTTCTAAATCTGGCAACCCCAGACATGAGGAAACTTTCTAGAGTGATTATAATGTTTTATATATTATAGGGATTTAGGTTGCACAGGTATATATATTTGTAAAAATTCATCTAATGTTACATTAAAAATGTATGTATTTAATTGTACATAAATGTTATCTAAAAAACTATAAACAAATATTGAACTCTAGTTAATGATATGCATGCTGAAGTGCTAAGTGTAGTAATGTCTACAACTTGCTTTGAGATGCCTTAAAAAAGTAAGATGGATTAATAGGTGCATAGAGGAATGGATAAAAGGACAGATAAGTGATAGGCAAATATCATAGAATGGTAATGAGAATCTAAGTGGTAGATATATGGCTGCTCGCTGTACAATTTTTCAACTTTTCTGTTTAAAAATTTTCACAATAAAATGTTGGGGAAAACTCAAGGGAAAAAGGTTCATGATGAATAGTGCGATACCAATTTTGTAAAACGTAGGTAAATATACACAAAGGACAACAAAAGTGAAATACATTACAATGGTTAACAGTTGCTATCCAGAAAAACAATAACAACAACAAAAGAAACCTCGCAGAATCCCATCAGACAGCAAAAGGGTGAATGATCTTCTTGAAAATTAGGCAGCTACAATTTGTGTAAGAGGTTGCTTTTAAAACGTGAAGCACAGATTTGCAAGGAAAGGCATGGGTTTAAAATGTTCCATTCTATTCAACAAGCCTCATCTTGTTTTTATGTGGCTCAGGGGGTACCACCCTGGGAGTAGACCCAGCTGTTCTGTTACAATTCAGAATCTCTGAGTTGTTCAATTTCCATGTAGTTGTGTGGTGTGGATGTACCATTAATTATTTGATCAGTCCCATATGGATGGACATTGGACTGTTTCCAATATTTTCACTGCTAGTTTTCTTCTTAACTTTTTACTTTGCAGTGATTATATTCATAGGGAGTTGCAAAATAGTAGGTACAGTCCCTCGGATGAGTCACACAGCTTCCCCTAAAGGTGACATCTTCCATAACAGCAGTTACACTATCAAAACTAGGGAATTGGCATTGGTTCAATATTGTTAGACGACAGACCTTATGCAGTTCTCACAACTTTTACATGTACTTGTGTGTGTGTGGGGGTGTGGGGGTGTGTGTGCTTTCTATGCAAGTTGACCTCATGTATAGTATCTTGTAACCACCACCACCACCATCAACATAGAACTGTTTCATCACCAAGTGGAACTCCCTTGTGCTGCCCCTTTTCAGTCACATCACCCACCTGTCCCTGTCCCCCTGGTCACTGGTAATCCATTCTCCACCTCTATAGTTTTGTCATTTTGAGGATGTTATTACATGAAATTATAGTGTGTAACCTTTTATGCATTTGGCCTTTTTCACTCAGCTTCATGCTGTGAAGATCCTTCAAGTTGGTGTACATATCAATAGTTTATTTATTTTTATTCCTGAGTAGTAGTCCACTGAATGGATATGCTAGAGTTTGTTGAATCCCTTACTCATTGAACAAAATTTGGGTGGTTTCCAGTTTGAGGCTATTATGAATAAAGCTTTTATTAACATTCATGCACAGGCTTTTTTGAACATAAGTTTTCATTCTTTGGGATATAGGCCAAAGAGTGCCATTGCTGAGTCACATGGTAAGTGCATGTTGAATTTTATAAGAAACTGCCAAGCTATTTTCCAGAATGGCTGTACCATTTTCTATTCATGCTAGCAATATATGACATGTCTGGTGTTCTTTGCATTCTTGCTAGCATGTGGTGTGATTTTTCAACTTATCCATTCTAATAGGTATAGTGATAGCTCATTGTGGTTTTAATTTGTATTTTTCCCTAATGGTTAATGATGCCAATCATATTTACATGTGCATATTTGCTGTTCGTTTCTTTTTTTTTTTGAGACAGGGTCTCACTTTGTCACCCAGGCTGAAGTGCAGTGGTGCTGTCAGAGCTCAATGCAGTTTTAACCTTCTGGGCTCAAGCAATCCTCCTACCTCAGCCTCCCAAGTAGCTAGAACTACTGGCACATGCCATCATACCTGGCTAATTTTAACATTTTTCTGTAGAGATGGGGTCTCCCTGTGTTGTCCAGGCCAGTCTCCAACTCCTGTGCCCAACTGATTCTCCTGCTTCAGCCTTCCAAAGTTCTGGGATTATAAGCGTGAGCCACTGCACCTGGCCTCATATCCCTTTTTTGGTGAGATGTCTGCTCGTGTCTTTTGTCCATTTTCTCAGGGGATTTTTTAAAATGTGTTCAGTTTTAAGAGTTCTTCATATATCCTAGATGCAAGTCCTTTGTCAGATATACGGTTTGCAAATGTTTTCACTCAGTCTATAGCATGCCATTTCATCCTCTTATAGGATCCTTCACAAAGCCAAAGTCCTAAATTTCGATGAAGTCCATTTGATCCATTTTTTCTTCCATCAATTACTATTTTGGTGCCATGTCTAAGGACTAAGTCTTGAATATTTATCCCATATTTTCTTCTAAAAGTTTTATAGTTTTACATTTTATATTTAAATCTGTGGTCCATTTGAATTGATTTTTATATAAGGTAGGAGCTTTAGGTTGCGGTTCAATGTTTTGCACATGACAGTTCAATTGTTCCAATAGCACCTATTGAAAGAGTGTCTTTGTTTACTGGGTTGCCTTTGCACCTCTGTCAGAAGTCAATTGGCTGTATTTGTGTAGACCTATTTCTAGACTCTCTGTATTCTTCTTTTTACCTTTTATCTTTGCATGTAAATTATAGAATCATAGAATCATCTTGTCTCTATAAAATATCCTGTGCTGGGATTTTGATGGAGTTGCATTAAAGGTATAGATCAATTTGGGAAGAATTAAAATCTTTACTGTGTTGGGTCTTCCAATCCATGAATCCATATACTCTTGATTTATT
Organism: Homo sapiens; assembly: GCF_000001405.40. Classification (NCBI taxonomy): domain Eukaryota; kingdom Metazoa; phylum Chordata; class Mammalia; order Primates; family Hominidae; genus Homo; species Homo sapiens. The sequence goes on from NC_000012.12 coordinate 30,815,845, forward strand.
TAGAACTTCTTTGATTTTGTTTACAGCATTGTGTAAGTTTTCAGCACACAGATCCTATATATACCTAGAAGTTTTATGTTTCAGAGATATTATAGGTGCAATTATTTCAAAATTTTTGGTTTTATTTATTGCTAGTGTTTAGAAATTCAGCTGTGTGTTGTGTGTTGACCTTGTATTACTTTTAGGGTGTGTGTATGTGTGTGTGTGTGTGCATTCCTTGGAATTTTCTATGTAGAAATCATCTTGCTTATTAATAAGAATGATTTCTTTCCCCCAAGGAAGTCATTTTTCCATCCAAGGAGTCACTCTGGTTCTCTCTCCATGTCTGTCTATACAGTGCTCACCATTCTGGGAAGAAGAAAGGTCCCTTATCTAGAGCTCCACTCATCTTTGGGCCTTACGGGTGTGTGTGTTTTGGTAGAGGGAGTGTTCAAGTATCTCCCCAACAATGTGGAGACCAGGTGTGTGTGGTGGCTCACACCTGTAATCCCAGCACTTTGGGAGGCCAAGATGGGAGGAATACTTGAGCCAAGAGTTGGAGACCAACCTAAGCAAAATAGTGAAACCCAGTATCTGTAAAAATACAAACATTAGCTGGGTGTGATGACGTGCTTCTCTAGTCCCAGCTACTTGTGGGAGGCTGAGTTGACAGGATCCATTGATCCCAGGAAGTCAAGGCTGCAGTGAGCCATGATTGTGCCACTGCACTCCAGCCTAGGCAACAAAGTGAGACCTTGTCTCAAAAAACAAAAAACCAATACGGAGATCTAGCAGAAACGCATTTAACTGTTATATTGGTATCTGATGCAATAAAGCAATTTTTCATTGCTTTGAGATAGAAATAAAGTTAAAACCAAAAGTGGCCTCACAAAAAAACTGTGCAAATATCTGTATGTAGAACTCTCTCTGACTTGTCCCTCTCACCAGGCTACAAGGAGAAGGGAGAGCTGGGAGCTGGGAGGGGAGCAGGAAGAGGGAGATCTGTGTAGGGAGGGGGAAGGGTGCCCATCCGTGACAATTGTAGGACATGTCTTTCTTCAAAATGTGGCTGCTGGAGAACCTAGACTCTGGCAACTGCGAGCTGCCCTGTGAGTCAGGTTTGGGCTTCCCCGCCTGCCTTCAGACAGGACCTGTGTCATGTGGCAGCTGGATAGCATGAGTGGAAGGACATCAGCAGAGTGGGGAACTGGGTGGTAGAGACCCTCACACCTGCCAGGAAGGTCAATGTGACTGCGAAAACACCACCAGATTGAAAATCTTCCTATATAGACCCTTGATATATCAGCCACTCCACCCCACTGGTCACTGTGGATGGGTGAACTAAACATGTCTTTCCACAAAATGGTGAGACAGCCAAGTAAAAAGTGGTCCCTGGAGAACCTCCGACTGGCCTGTGCACTGGGAGGATGGGGCAGGGCCTCAGGAAGTTCGTGCTGTTTGTAGGGGGGAGGAGCCTGGCCTCTCCTGTTCCTGGGTGGTGACCTGGAATTCAATCTGTGAGATGGGGGCCTTTTAACAGGAACCCCTTTAGCTTTGCTGAGAATCTTTTTTCTTTTTGCCCAATAAATTCTGTAACCACTCACCCTTCAAAGTGTCTGCATGCCTAATCTTTCCTGGTTGTGCGATGAGAACCTGTTTTTTTCTACAACAATGAGAAGACACAGAAGGAGCCAAAATATGCCCTTTTCTTGCCCCTATTCTCCCCACAGTCCTCTCTCTGCTGACCTTTACCCCAGAACCAGGTCTTCTTTAAAAAGCAGAATTGGCCCAGACTCTATCAGCAAGTTTTTGATTGTCCTGGGGTTTAAAGAGGGCTTCTGGGAGCCAGACAACCCTTTTCTTGGTCTCTTTGCTAAACTGATTCTAACTCCTAGAGAATGGCATTTCAATTATTCTAGGCCTGTAGGCATGGAGATACCATCATCCTCCTTTGGAACATTTATGATAATGGCTTGATGGTGCTGAAAACCCCAATTACCAGGGTTCTAGTCTATCCCTAACCTAAATTCTTATTCTATATTTTTGCCTTTAGGAGTGCTGAGTGTGCATCGTTCAGCCTCTATAAAGCAACCATCACCCTTTTGATGATTCCAAACTCCTCATTTTCAGAGTGTTCTTATTTCTCAGAAAGATTTGAACTTGGGCATGGAAAGGTCTGCTTCTCCTGTGCTGGCTCTGCTGTCTTCAGCTGGAGGGTCAGGAGACATTCTGGATGGAGAACGGCTGTCAGGGAGTGATAGGCAGCTTCACTCCAGACAAGTACCTGGAATTTGGAACCAGGGAAACGGGAGGATAAGAGACATCCTCTTGTTCTTTGACCTGATTCCCCAGTCAGCGGGAAGCCCACTGGGGGCTATAACTAACAGCTTCTGAATAGCAGGGAAATTTTCACTAATCCAAGTCAAAACCTAGAAAAAAGCCTCCTCTTTTTATCTCAAAACCATGAAAATCTTCTAGGAACAGGCAGAAAACAAACAGCTGGAGTTTTTTGTTTTTGTTTTTGTTTTTTTTTTTGCTTCTTGTGGCCATGCACATGAAGAATTACTAAAAGATCAAGATGTAGAAATAAAAGAGGCAGGGCTGCTCAGAGGACAAATAAAAATTAAGTTGATCAAATCAAAGACCTTAAGTTGTGCTTCTTCAAGTCCTTTGGTTCCTCAGCCACTGGCTGTTTTCTCCTGCCATGCAGGGGTTTTCAGGAGGGCTACAGGAGATTTGGCAATTATGTTTCACAAGGTCATAGGGAAAATTCCATTTTAGGTGGAGAGTAGACATCACCAAGCACATCATGGATGTGGTTCATTGATGTCACTATTCATTGAACTAATCTATCCTGATGATAGGCATCGTACATCAGTCTTAGACTAAATGACCAGCAGGTCAGGCTAGGAAAGATCCACTGCCCTAGATGGGGAACTCCCATCTATACCTCCTTCCCTCACAGCAGCACTGGGCAAGGTGTCCTTGTCACAGCTGACATCTTCCTTGTAGGGTGCAGGGAGGAAGGCTACTCTGGCCAGTGTTGACATTAGACAAGAAGGGAGCCTGTGGGTATGAGTGGGAAAGGTGAGGGGATCATAACTGGCAGGACCCTGGGAGTTGTGGGCAGGAGCCCACCCCATAGCCCATGCCACTGTCCAGTGAGACCTGGGAATGAAAAATTCAAAAGAGAAGGCAGCAGAAAACTTTTGAGAGAGAGAAAGATAGAGAGAGAGAGAGAGAGAGAGAAAGAGAGAGAGAGTGTGTGTGTGTTGGGTCTGTCAAAACTCCAAATTTCCATCTAGGGGCCAAATATACAGCAAGAACCAGTTGTCAGTTCAAAAGGGCCCCCATCACCATCATAACTAGAATCTTAGCAGCGCAGTGGTAGAAACCTTGGGAAACTAGAAAAAGGATGTTACCTAAAGTCAATTTCTAGAAGACCTTTATGGCAATGAAAAGGAACCAAGAAAATCTAGATGGGCTGAACTTGGAGAACCACAAAGACTCTTGTTTCTAGACTCTAGAAACAGTTAATCTGGGAGTTACTGACACTTTCTCCACTTTTTCATGAATCAGTCCATGAAAGCACAACTCATCGTCATTGAGGAATGGATGATGGTCTATTTTAATTTCTAGCTTGCTGATACAAGTGCCAAGAGGGGCTGAACACTGGGACTACAAGAGATTCAATGAGCCAATTCAGGGTGAATAGTTGGGTCCTATTTTCCCCAAAGCAGTTGCTTTTCAACCATCATTGTCAAAATACATTTGAAGGACACAACACCATAGGGCAATGTTCTAGGGAGATGCAAACTAGCATAAGAGTTGCCCCCACAAAATTTGTTTCCACCACTGTGAGCTCCTGCTTGCTGCCTCCTCCCTTGTCCTGGTCCCCTCCATGGCAGCTGGAGGAAAGCCTGGTCTAAAGTGAGGAAAGGATAGAGAAATGAGCATGACAGAGTTGATTTTTGGATGAACAATGGTTTCACCCAGTTTCCCTTCTTGAGCCCCTGATGTCTGCGTTTGAGTAGAGCAGAGGCTTGGAGTGAGGAGGCCCCTCCCTCCAGCCAGCCTGAGACTACTTCCATACTCTCAGTCAGTGCACATTTTCCCCAGGAAACCAATGACAGAAGTCCATGCTGTGGCAATAAAGAGAAGGTCAGCCACCTCTTCTGTGGAGGATTCTGATGCCAGCTCAGGGACACAGAGGCTGGTCAGAATGCCTCCCTACACCTCACAGTGAAGCATTGTTCTTGGAGAAGTATGAAGCCAAAGAACCCAAAACGAGTGGATAGAGTGAAGACAAGAATAAAACACGTCAGGCAGGGCATGGTGGCTCATGTCTGTAATCCCAGCACTTTGGGAGGCCAAGATAGGCAGATCACCTGAGGTCAGGAGTTTGAGATCAGCCTGGTCAACATGGTGAAACCCAGTCTCTACTAAAAATACAAAAATTAGCTGGGCATGGTCGTGGGCACCTGTAATCCCAGCTGCTCGGGAGGCTGAGGCAGGAGAATCTCTTGAACCTGGGAGGTGGAGGTTGCAGTGAACCAAGATCACGCCATTGCACTCCAGCCTGGGCAACAAGAGTGAAACTCCATCTCAAAAAACAACAGAAAGAATAAAACAGGTCTTGGTTTCACAAAGTAAGACGTGGTACAAATATACCTATCACATGATTTTAGAAAAATTGAGGGAAATGGAAGCAAACACAAGATATTCAAAACAGCAATGTCCTAACTTGTTTGCAGATACCAGAATAATGACTTACAGATACCAGAATAATGAGGGAGAAGGAAAGGGAAAAATCAGTTGGGGAATACTTGGACTGCAAAAGCAGCCTGCCTCAAAAGTCAGAGCAACAGGAAAACACACTCACACACACACACACACACACACACACAAAACAAACAAACAAAAACAAACATGGGTAAAACCTCAGGCTGCACATGCACACAGATAAGCAGACAGGGTCCTGCAGAGAAGCCCATTGTTCTTTGTATAATTAGCAAACTCCCAGGAAAAAGTTTCTTCCCCTTTTCAGGCATATACACGGTGGGCTCCACAGAAACTGGCACAGGGAGGAGGGGGACTTACCTAAAACAAACCCACAGTTATATAAATAAGAGAAGTGGCGCTTTGTGCCTGCCTAAAGACATACCTACAGCTGCATAAGGGGAATTGCACGGACAGCTTTACTGGTAAAAAGTTACTAAAACAGTTACAGGGAGGAGAGCAGTTGCTTATAGAAGTTTACTGCAATCAGCTGCAACCTGGCAATCCACTCGGACTCCCCTCTGCTGCGGAGAGCTTTCTTCTTTAGCTTATTAAACTTTTGCTCCAACCTCATCCTTGTATCCACATTCCTTAACCTTCTTGGATGTAGGACAAAGAACCCTGGGTACTAGTTCAAACAATGAGAAACTGCTACAATAAGATGCATCAGTGAGACTGCAACAATACCTTTGCTCATCATACAAATTAAAAGAAAAATCATTCCCTTTCCCTCAATCACATAGAGAAAAGCACTTAAGTGTTCAGAAGTAACCCTTGTCACACTCCAAATACAAAATGATTTACATGCAGCAAATTACACAAGAAGTGAATTAAAATATAATCATTATATTCACTTGGCACAATTGTAACTCCATTAAAAAAAATTTGAAAAATACTGAAACTGACCTGAATTTAAGTTTCTTCAACAGAAACATTAGCAAAGTAATAAAAAATTACATGAGATGTATCGAAGCAAAATGCCTTCTTGAGTTTTTCCCTTAAATTTCTCTGTGTTTTTTTAAAATATAGTTTTAATGCCAAGGGAACTCACAACTATATTTTAAAATGAATATTATTGCATTGTTTTTGCATTATCTTGTGGGACAGAAATGCAAAGAGTTATGGATTACCACCTTAGAAGTAGAGACAGTGGTCTGTTTTTGTATTCAAACGGTCCCAGATTTAGATCTCCGCACAATTAAACCAGAATAGGGGGATTGTGTACTCACAGGTGCCATGGGCACACGATATGGGTGCATACACATTTGGACATATGTACACAACCTACTACATACACACATGTGTAACACACACAAAGACTCTCTCACCCATGCTCCTCCCTCCCACACCTACCTATACACCCAGGGTAAAATGGAACCCAACTCAATTACCTATATTGTGCAAGATATATCAAGTGCATTGCCAATTACCTTTACATTAGAAAACTAAACCAAGCCAGGAAAAAAAAAAAGGATTACTACTTAAGGGATTTATAACAAATTATTGGGCATACACAATACTTAGTATAATTCTCCAACAAAGGCTTCTATTGAACCCTACCTGGGTAAAGGAAACCACAACCATTTAAATAATACAAGAAAACCAAACCCGAGTTACACTGGCAAAAGTGAAAACAAAGTGGGTGGCTACAGGACTTTGTAAACACTCTCCTTCCTCTCCTCTCCTCTGGGAAAATAAAAACCAAAAAAAAAAAAAAAAAAAAAAAAAGCCCAAAACAAATCAAAAAATGAAAACTGCAAGAAAAGTGTCAAACCACAAAACAAAAGAGCGCTCCACAGAAGCTCAGCACATCTTCATTTGGTGGGCGCTGGTGCCCTTTCCCTGTGGGCGGCGCCAGCTCCTTTCTCGGCTGCCTGCCCAGCTGCTGGGCTGGAGCTCCGCGTGCTGGGTGTAGGTCAAGTGATCCCGTCGCGGGCGGGCGGAGGTGGCCGGGCAGCCGCCGCTGTGCCCGGGTCTGGGGTGAGCTGCACTGCTGCCCTGGGCCCCGGCTCCCACGCCTGTTTCCCGGAGCTCCGCGGCTCCGGCTGCTTCGCCCTCCCTCTGTGGGCTGGGCTGGGGTCCTCGCGAGAAGTCCTGCCCCGCTCCCTTCTCCAAATCCACAGGCCCTGTTTCTCTGGAGACAGGGAGGCTCATACAGGATATGTGCAAATGCTTTTATTACAAGCTGAGTTGAAAGACACCCGTTTGCTCTCGGGTCCTTTTGGTGAGCGCCGCAGGAAGCCGGGCTCCTCTCTCCCCAGAGGCGGCCGCAGGTTCGCGGCGCAGGGCCTGCAGTGCCAGGAGCAGGCAGGGGCCTCTGCCCTCCCCTTCGTCCCTGATCTCCCGCCTCCTCCTCACCCGCCGTCTCTGCGAACTCACCCTGGGCTGCGGCCTTTCTTCCCTCAAAGCAGGCCCTTTACACACCGGACTCCGCGTCTTGTCCCAATACAAATACATGAAAATGCGGTTCCTCAGGTGGCGAGAACAGTGAGCACTTCTGAAGCAAGCCCATTAGGAACATTGAAGTAAATCTGAAGCCTAACGCCCCGGCGCCCTGACTACCGGCTGCCGAGCGGACTCTGCGGTCCCGCAGCTTCCCTGCACTCGCGGCCCTGGACGCGCATCTCCCAGGCTTTTCTGCGCTGGCCCCTGCCGGCATTGGCCAGGTCCCCGCAGTTCACTAAAGGCAAGAGGGCCTCTGCAGGGCTCCGCGGGGCGCCCCGCTGAGGACGCTGTGGGCCTCGCACTCCACCTCGTCTCCTGTGCTGTCACAGGCGGAGGCCAGCTTCTGGGTTGAGACCTCTGTGAACTCCGGGTCTTCAGCAAATTGCCCCAGTCCTGAAATCAAAACCTAGGGGGCGGGGTTGGAGGCCATGAAGAATCAAAGGAACATTATCACTGGAGCTCGACTCCTCTAGAGGGTGGCAGTAAGGGGCTTTTGACGCGGAACTTCGCGGGCCAGTGCATGTGTGTGTGCGTGCGTGTGTGTGCGCATGTGTGAGGGGTTGTGAGGGGTGCTTGTAGGAAATGAGCAGAGAGGGAGCATCAACCGAAGGATTAGGGATGTGTAGGCCGGAGAAGAGAAGTTTTGCCTTGGGTATTAAAAGCCATCATCAAACAAAGACTTGGCTCACAGAGGGACGGGGAAGCCTGCCCTGCTGCTTCCTAGGCCTACCCCAGCCTGCCCTTCTCTTCTCTCTGATGCCTTTCGTATTATTCCTCCCAAGAAACCTTCATTCTCCCTGCTGAAACTGTAGCCCCGAGCCCACTGCCCATAGCCAGCTGGCTGTATTTCCTGGGGTGAGGATCCAGAAGTATGCATGGAAACACCGTGCACGCACCTGCTCGGAAGGGCCAGCAGGCGACGCCTAAAACTTCTCCATCCTCCCTGTTGGCAGCTTTATGCCTGGCTACGGGAAAACAAGCTCCTGAGACAAAGGATGGGAGGAAGCCACAGAGCGCACCTCGCACAGCTCCTCCCGGGTGTCTATTCGTCTTTCTCCCAACCCACATCACTCTCTCCTGACGCTGCCTAATTTTACTTTGGAGCTCCTGCCCCTTCCTGACCCGTTGCATACGTGTTTATTTATTATCTGTCTCCCCTCACCACAATGTGAGTCACTAGTGCGGAGGCTCTGTTTCTCAGCTGTGTCCCCGCACCTAGAACAGCACCTGCACATGGTAGGTGCTCAGGAGAGATCTGTGAAATGAATAAAGGATAACAAGGCCACATAAAGCATCAGAGTTTTGGAGTTTCAAGGGACCTTCGAAGCCATCTGGTTTAACTCCCCATCTCCTGCATGACAGCCTGATGACTGATGGGCACCATCTCTGCTTGTATATGTCTAGTGATGGGAGGCTCGCTACTTTTTAGGAAATGCCCCCTCATTTTGGGAGAGCTCAGTTGGGAATGTCTTCCTCATGTCAGCTGAAATGTCCCCGCCTGTCCGTTGAGCTAGTTGCTCCAGGAGCGTGACCCTTTCCCCATGCCTCCCATTGCAGGTGTGAGATGCCCAGCACAGCCTCTGAAGTCATCTCCTTTCCTGGTTTACCTAATTCCTTCAACCAGTTCTCCTATGAAATGGTTCCTAGGGACCTTGCCATCCTGATCATCCTCTTTTGGGTTTGTTCCAATTTGTTGAAGGTCCCTTAAAATATGGTGCCAGGATGCTCTAGATGCTCTCACCAGGCAGAGTACAGTGGAACTGAAAGCTCTCTTGTTCTAGCTAGACAAGCGGCTCTCAAGCTGGCTGTGCGTTAGAATCATCAAAGGGCTTTTAAAAATATCAGTTTCACTTGTCATGGATTTCCAAAGCACCACAGGTGATTCTTATGAGCAGTCAGCATTGAGCACCACAGATCCTGACCTTCTCTGTGCATAAATACAGTCCAAAATCACATTTCCATCTTGTGCAATCACAGCACATGGCTGGCTCATACGATGGAGCCTCGAGGCCTTTCTCGAGGTTTACCGGCCTATGGTAGGGATACTTTTCTCAGTAGCTTCTTTCTCTGCCTGTATCAGGCCCAGCCTCAAGAGAGCCAGTAACATCTTGTGTGGTCATATTTTCCCAAGCCAGCCATCCTTCTATAGCCCTGAGAGGGAAGGGAGGGTCTTTCTGGCTCAGAGGCTTGACATACCATCAGTTTGGAAAGAGCCAGGTTCTCCCTTCTCAGCTCCGCATGCCAAGTCCCCTTGCTGCCCATGGCCTCTCCCTCCCCTGTCTGCTGTGTGATGGGGAGTCATGTACCACTTCACCAGGCTGCTGGCACTGGCATGGAATTGCCTCCTAGGGTCCCAGCCTGGCTGCCCACCATGGAGAAGATAGGCCGGGCTCTTTGGTTTGTGCTGCCAACCCTGTGCCAGGGGGTGGTGTCTTCAGCACAGGAGCTGCAGTGGTTGGACAGGACACTGCTGGTGAGGTCCTTGCTGGACTCAGCCACCTCCCGCACAGGGTGGGAATCAGCTGCAGGGCCTGCCTGGGCTGGGGGCTATGGCAGGGGTGGTGGAGAATGGCCTGGGAATGAGGCAGGGGAATGGCTTCTCTGAAGAAGAGGGCTCAGGCCCACCGCTGAAAATGCCTGTGGACACACAAACAGTGGGAGTTGTTGGGAGTGGTTGGCGCCAGGCAAGGCAGGCCCCTGCTTCTGAGCAACCACTGCTTTGCAGCTGTTGTTTCCAGCTAGTTCCACCCACCTGGGATTCACATGCCATCATTTTCACCCATCTCAATCCTACCTCATCAGACCTGGCATGAGTCTCAACCATCTCAAAATATATTTTATGTTATCTCAGTGCAATGTGGCCTGCTTCTCCTCTAACTTCAGAAAGCTGTGGCTGAGTGGAATCAAGATAATCTGCATTTCAGCCCTGGCCCTGTCACCTAGTAGCTGTGAATTCTCTCACTCTTGGTCTTCTCATCAGTATAATAGAGAATGATGATGCCTGTATCTTCTATAAACCAGAACACAGATGCCCTCTTTATCAATCCACCTTACAGGGTTGGTGTGAGGTTCAAGCAAAATAAGGTCTGTGAAGAAGTACAGTGCACATCTCACAGAGCTAGACCAAACCAGTATTTGCTGTTTTAATTTTTGCAATTAATTGGGCCATTAACAATGCCCCATCAGCCTCTAGCTCAGGTTGTCGTTGATCCATAGTTTAAGTCTTACACTGTATTGTAATCAAACGATTTACATATCGTGTCCTCTGTCCCAGCATGTTCTTGAGCATCCTGAGGGCAGGGACCAGCCTTGACGACCCACCCTGGCAGAGGCTCCCCAGCAGCAGCTGCTCTGACGAGATGTGCTCCCAGGAGAGAGCAACACTGTGTGGGGAAAGCCCAGCTCTGAGAGGCGGAGAAAATGGGAAGATCACCACCTAGGTGGGAGGGCGGAGAAAGGGATAAAGAGGAGTACAAAATAAAGATGACCTTCTTGCCTACCAGCAGGCTGAGAACAGATGGGGGAAATCAACTGTTAGAAATATTTTAGAGTGCAGCAAACCACCATGGCGCATGTGTACCTGTGTAACAAACCTGCACGTTCTGCACATGTATCCCAGAACTTAAAATAAAATAAGTAAAAAAAAAAGAATAATAAAAGAAAAAAGAAATCTTTTAGAATAACGCACACAGTGTCCCCACATTTTGCCACGTCCCTATCCCAGCTCATCATGGTCCCAACCTGGGGCTCCTGGGTCCCTGGAGATCTAGGAAAAGTTTAAGGTATGTTCAATATTTTGGAAAGCCCAGTGGAAATCATACCTTTTTAGGCAACGCCACCTGGGCTAAGCAAAACAGTGCATTTCTTTGACGTCAGTTGGGTCACACTTGTCATCTTATGCAGATTATGAACTTCGATTAGCAGCTGAATGCCTTTGGGTAAAAAAAAAATTATTTAAAGCCTAGGTCCATGTAGGGAATATATAATTAAATGAGTAAAACTTCAGGAAACCAAGGTTTAGACCTCATCTTGCCTGGGGTTAATAGAATGATCTTCGATAACTCTTTAAGTGAGTAGTCCTAAATACCAAGAATACGTTTGGTACTGGCATCTTGCATTTCACTATCTCAGCTAGAGCCAGCCAGGCTGAGAGGGATTCCATCCAGGGAATCTCCCTGACATGTTTTCCTTGGATGCCATTCCCTTCTCTTGGCCACGTTGCTGGCGGGTTCTTGGACCATTTCTCTATGTCGGTGGATGGATTGTGGTGCAGCTAAATTTCCAGTGTGTTCAAACTCCATCTGCACGGGTGCCCCACAGCTTAAGCCTGTTTGGTGAGGAGACATCTGTGGCACCAAAAGAAGATAGCTCAGGCAGATCCTGCAGTTGCTGATTCTTCAGGATCCTGGGAAGAGTTCCTACTCAGCAGTATTTCCTAGATCCACCTTATGACATTACCGACCTTGCTAAGGCTCTCGCCTGCCCAGGAAGAGTGGGCAGCCCTAGTGAGGGGCCGTTAGGGCCAGGGGTAGGAGGTACCAGCAGTTGGAGACAGGGAAGACTGACTGATCTCTCGGGGATTTGTCCCTCATCCTGGGGACCATCTATCCTGCTGGGTGGTGGCTGGCAGCCTGTCCAAATGTATGAGCCACCAGAGGGTCAAGTAGACGCAGGGCAGGACCGTCTTCTGGGAGATGTGTCCCCCTAAATTCTTCTGTCACTTCAGACATTCCAGGTAGAAGGAGGCCCTTTGACCTGCAAAGCCAGCCAGAGAACCAGGAACAGGGCAGGGAAAGAGCATGCTAGCCTGAGACGGCTCACACCCAGCTGGGGCGTGAGGAGCAATGTCTGTGGCCCCAGGCACACCTCCTTTCTCCACCCTGTCACCTTATCTCTGAGACATACTGTGCAGCATATGTCCAAGGCCCATCTGGGCACATCCTGCCTTTGGAATTCTGTTTCGCCACTTTGAAAATCTGCCCAGCCCACTTTGGGGAGGTTGTTTGAGTCAGGTTTCCATGATCTCTCAATCAACCCTCAGCACTGACCGGTGTCCCCTCAGAGGGGACCACTGGCCACATCTGGAGAGCAATGTGTGTGTTTAATAGTGAGGCAGAGCAGAGGGAGCCCGTCTTCAGGGATTGCCAGATGTCTCTCTTGTCCTCTTCTGGGGGTGTCAATTGTTGATTTTCATCACCCCGGTAGGAGAGCCTGGAACACAGAACTCTTGGGGCTCGTTCCTGGAGGCTGAGAAATGCCACTGCGTAGGGACAGCTGCCACCCCCAGAAAGCAGTTTGCTCTTTTCCTTAGTGAAGAGATCCTCCCCCTGCCCCCCCATATTGTGCTTACATACAGGTTGATGCATTTCCCTCCCAGGAAATTCCACCGTGCCCCCGGCATCACAGATGTCTCCAGACCTGCTGGTTGGGAGTTTCCAGCTCCTCATCCACAGCCTGTCCTATGAACTTGCATTTCAGATTTAGGACAGTGAAGGCAGTCTCAGGTCAAAGGTGTCAAGAGAGTTGAAAACATTCTAGGCCCTTTAGGTTCTTTCAGGGAAAGGCCTCGGCTCCTGTGTTTGCATGTGTTGCTGCTATGTGCCACAGCTGCTCTCCAACTTTAACCCAGACTTATCAGCCACCCCCCATTTCTCCCTGCCCTGCCAACCTCTTCATCACCAAGGGCACATAAGCAGCTGCCTACAACAAGCATACAATCATTCAGTCAGCAACTAGATGCACTGTAAGGAATCTTGGGAGGTATTAAGTCAATGGCATCCAGGTCTTTTGATGGTGACTCACAGTGAGAATATATTTGACACATTCCCATCACGCACGGATGCACCTAATGGAATCTTGCATTTCAGTATCTCAGCTGGAGCCAGCCAGGCCAAGAGGTATTCCGTCCAGGGAATCTCCCTGACATGTTTTCCTTGGATGCCATTCTCTACTCTTGACCATGTTGCTGGCAGTTTCTTGGGTCATTTCTCCATGTCGGTGGATGGATTATTGTGCAGCTAAATTTCCAGTGTGAATACATTGCACACTGGTAAGTTCTAGTCTACTTCAGTCTGTTCTCATTCATTAAAATATTGATTTCACAATCCCTAGTGTGTCGGCCTGCAGTCTGAGAGGCACAGTTGCCTTTTAACCTCCTTTTGCAGATGAAGCCATCAACTTGCTGGTCCCTGGTGCAACCCCCACCCTGAGGAGAGACACTGCTGCCTTGATCTTCTGTGAATCCACCCTTGTTCCTGGCACAGTGACTTTGAGTCTTTACAGACGTGCAACAGCCTTTGTTGAGTGAGACCTCACATTCTTATGCCTCCAAGCCTTGCTCTCATTCTCAACTAGTCAAGCCCTCCCTATTATATTTCCTCTTAGACAAGTCACCCCTACTCTTGCACTTCCAGCTGTTTGACCTTGTGCATCGTACATGTTAAGCTCATCCTGCCCTCAACCTTCTCTGAATGGCTGTACCCCTCAGGGTTTGTACCACCCTGTGGGCAATTAGTTAGAGCTCTCCATGTTATCTTCCTCTTCTGAGACCCTCTTAGCTTCCTAACTAGTTTGGAAAACCTCCTTGAGTATGGGGACTGGTTTATTCACAACCTATCAGAGTGCCTGCATGCACCAGGCACTCAAGAAGAGCCAAAATGGGTTAAAGCATACACTTTTCCTGACTTCTAGGATAGGTGGTTGTGCATGAGTTTGTATTCCCCAAAAATCAATTTAGGGAATGTCATCTCTTAAGAAGCTTCCAATGTTTCTTTTGGTTTTGTGTTGACTGTGTTTCATTTTGTCAGGAACATGAAGGTCTATCACCCCCACCATCCTATTTTGCTGATGGGGACATGAAGGCACAGGGTGGTTGATGGATTTGTCAAGAGCTCCTTGTCTCTACTATTTCCATGCTTTTCCTTATTCACTAGATTCTTCTTTCTTCATCAGGGGGACAGGAGACACTTCTGCTACTCCTCCAACCCAATTCTGGACCAGAAAGCTCTGGACCCCAGGAAGCCACATGCTGTGCTAGCTTGTCTGGAGCCTTTCCCCCCAACCCCCTGAGGGGCCCGGGGCCTCCCTCCCTTCACCTCCAGCCACACCTTTCCTTTCTTCACAAGCCTAAAAAGCTAGTCCTTCCTCAATATAAAGTACTTTCAGGAAAGCTTCTAAAAACAGTGTGTCTTTAATGTTTTTTAATGTAACCCACTGTCATCAAGGCATTTTACAAGGAGACTTTCTAGATACACACACATATTGGCAATGAACCAAATGTTTCACCACATAATACTAACATTTGTGACTTTTGATGCACTCTGATATTTCCTATTGTGCTACACTGTGCAATTCTTTTAAAGGGCTGACCAAATTGATGTCACGACCTCCTAATGGATCTAGGTCTGCAGTTTAAACACTCTACTCCAAAAATTCCAGCAAGAACAAAAATCTCAGCCCTAGATTTGCCAACAGTGTCCTTTTCTGGGACTTTATTATAAGGCTTTGCATAAAAAATTTGTTAATTGTTAATATATGGATGTGTGCACTGAGTCTCACTGGAAAACATATTGATGACTATTGGTTACAGCCTAAAAAGAATGCTTGAAAGTTTTCCTGGTGAGGAAAGGCCAAGCTAAAAAAGGGAGTCGTGTGTGTGTGTGTGTGTGTGTGTGTGTGTGTGTGTGTGTGTGTGAGAGAGAGAGAGAGAGAGAGATATGGGTGTGGTCCCATCCCCCTAATGAGATGCCACATGCTGTGCAGATGTTTTATAATATTTGATCTCCTCTTCTTCCCAAAATCATGTCCAGAGGAGAAATTCCATGGATCTGCCCCTGCCTCCCCCAGACCCTTCCCCAAACCTTGGCTGGCCTGGGC
The DNA here is from genome assembly GCF_000001405.40 of Homo sapiens. NCBI lineage: Eukaryota > Metazoa > Chordata > Mammalia > Primates > Hominidae > Homo > Homo sapiens. The sequence goes on from NC_000012.12 coordinate 30,830,923, forward strand.
AGAGGACTGCAGAGCTCACATCTCTGTGGGGAACAGGCTGGACTCCCTGTGGGACTCAGGGTCTTCACTCACCCTTACTTCACATGTCTCCTCCTGAGACCCCTTGTCCTGACACACTACAGGTCTCTGGCTGTCTCAGGAGTGGCACGTAAAATGTCCGAGATCCAGACAAAAAATCAGAGACTGCCAACCCTCCTGCCCTTCCCTCAGCAAGTAAGGCATCACATACACATGCAGGCATGCACACGAGCACACAGGCACACATGCACATGTGCACACCAACACACTTGCTGTGGCCTTTTTCCTCCTAAAATCACTGAGGAAGCCATGGAGCCACAAAAGTGTTAAGATTAGGGTGAGGGTTTTACGTGGGAGAAGGGTGTCTGATTTGGATCCAAGAAGATCTGAGTTCTGACCCCCACTCACTCTAGCCCAAATCACTTAGCCCACCCTATGCCTCAGTTTCCCTTTCTATGAAATTGGGTTAACACATGCCCTGCCTGACTCAAAAGCTTCTTGTGAGTCACAAATATAGTAACAGATGAGATGATGCTTTGAGTATGCAAAGAACCAACTTGAAAGGAGGGTCCTGGGCCATACGATATAGGGCAGTGTGGCCCTAGAGAGAAGGCTGTCCCTCCCCTCCATTGTAGACAGCTGGGCCTTTGGGCCTTTGTTTGGCACAGCTGAGAAGTTCCTGATATCTTCTTCTGATAGTGTCTTTGAGCAAAGGATAGTGAGCCTGAGGCCCTGCTGAGCCTGAATCCCACCTGAGCTCCAGATCTTCCTATGCCAGGATGTGCCTTGGGAGGTAACACTTTCCCCACTGGGATGGGGGCTTTTGCTCACCTAGTCACAACTTCTTGAGGTGTGAGCTAAGTGTTCTTCCTTTTCCTAGCAGTGCTCAGCTCAGTACCTCCCTCCATCTTTCTTTCTATAGACCCTGCATGCTGGGGGCCACTTTATCCTCAAGCACCTGAGGGTACCAGGAAAAGATCCTGGCTTTGAGACACTCAGACAGGGGAGGGGCAGAGCTCTCTCGGGGCTACCCACCTGTATTTGTCTGTCCTTGTATTGCTATAAAGGGATACCTAAGACTGGGTAATTTATAAAGAAGAGAGGTTTCATTGGCTCACAGTTCTGTGGGCTGTAGAGGAAGCATGATGCTGACATCTGCTTGGCTTCCAGGGAGGCCTCAGGAAACTTACAATCATGTTAGTAGATGAAGGGGGAGCAGACATGTCACATGGCCAGAGCAGGAGCAAGAGAGAAAGAGTGAGGTGCCACATGGTTTTAAACAGCCAGATCTTGCAAGAAGTCACCCACTATCACAAGGACAGCACCAAGGGGATGGGACTAAACCTTCGTGAGTAATCCACTCCCATGAGCCAGTCACCTCCCACCAGGCCACGCCTCCAATACTGGGGATTGCAATTCAACATGAGATTTGGGTGGGGAGGTAGATCCAAACTATATCACTACCCCCCCAGTTGGAAGGAAAGATGAGCCATGGGAGCTCCAGGTAGAACGGGAGGAGAAGAATATGGCCTGTGCTTTGGAAAGACACAGTGGGCTGAGCTGAAGACGCAGAATGGCAGAGGGCAGGCAACACCACTTCTGAAGGGACCACGACCCACAGGACATACTGGCCCATTCTGAGCAAGAGCAATCCTGGAGCCAGACCTGCCCTTATCCTTGAGCAGCCACATAGAGGACAAGGCCCCAGAGCTAGAACTTGGGCTTTATTTTCCTTCTTCACCAGGCTGAAGCATCCTGAGTGTTGTTTTTACCAACTGCAATGGAAGAGAGGGTTATGATGTTCAATGAGCACTTACGATGTGCCGGGCATTGTGCTGAGTGCTTCGCTGTGTTTTATTTCACTGACAGATGTATCTGTGGGGAGAAGAAAACCCCTGGGGCCTCCTCCCCCAGCTCCTCTAAAAATCACTCTTCCTTAATGTAATATAGAACAAAGTTTCATATGAAAATGCCCTTAGAGGGAGGTAATTAAAACAGCAAACACTGGTTTTATCTAGCTCTACACCCTCCCCTCCCCTGCTGGGAGGGGTCAGAGGTGAAGGCCCTTGTCCAGGTCTGTCCTCAGGACAGAGCCCAGAGAGCAGGCTGTGCCCCACCTCCTCTGTGCACCCTGAGGTGGTGGCTGGGCAGCCCGTTCTCATGTATGCACAAAAAGCCCACCTCACAGCTAGGTGAATGGCACTTTCTTTGTTCAGGTTGGCAAGGGCAAAGTGGGTGAGTCCATTCACTTTAGGGAGGTGGGGGACAGAGCAGAAGTGAGGGCAGCACCCACCTCTGAACTGGCTTACCCCTTCTTCTGTCCTGTCTGAGGGTTCTCATCCACTTCTGCCTTCCGCCCCCACACCCACGCTGGAAGGCACCTTCCCTCACCTCCATCCTCCACCTCCAGCTGAAGCCACAACGGGGTGTTCATGAACCTAATGCTTTGGTGAGGGACTGGGAAGCCAAACCTGGAGAGGCAGAGGTCCTGGGAAGAGGCCCAGAAGACAGCAGACCTTCTTCCTAGGATTGTGAAACAAGGTGCTTCCAGTCCACATAGCTGCCCTGCACATTACAGTCCTAATGATACAGACAGGAGACAGGGAAATACTGGGTAGAAGAGGGTAGTTCCCCAGCAAAGGCCCCACCCCCAAGCCTGGAAGCCCACAGCCCTAAATGGGAACAGGCATTCCTGTTTTCAAGCCAAATGTTGCTTTTGGACTGCCACACCCCCCTATCCTGTACCCATACAAACCCCAAACCCCAGGCTTCACAAGCAGACAAGAAGATGAACAAAAGAGCAGGGGAGCAGAAGAGTGACGCAGTGGAGAAGGAGAGAAAAGAAGGAGCATCCGAATGTCGAGAGGAGTTCGGCTGGGGACAGTCAGAGAGATCTGCCATGGGACAGCCAAACTCCAGGAGAAGATCATCATCCCACTCCATCCCCTTTCCAGCGCCCCATCCTTCCCTCTCAGAGCCACCTTCATCACCCAATAAAATCCCCGCATTCACCATCCTTCAAGTCCATGTGTGACCTGATTCTTCCTGGATGCCAGACAAGAACCCGGGTATCAAGAGGACACTGAGCTGGTTAACACTTAAGCCATCTATGGGCAGTAGAGCTAAAAGAGCACTGTAGCATGCCCACTGGGACTTTGAGAGTCATAGGCACACACCCCTAGATGCCACCATGGGGCCAAATCCCAAAAGCAGTCACCTCAGCTCCTGCATCTGCCTGTCTGTGTGCTCTCCCTCCCGTAAGGGGTTTGAGTGGCGGCCAGACAAGCCACACCTGTGTGGCATATCCTGCACAGGGTTGGTGGGGGAGCAGGGAACTCTCCTGTTTAACTAAGAGGTGCAGCCTTAAGTTACCGTAGAGGGCTGGAAGGGACCAGAAGAGGCCACCTATCCCAGCTTCTTGCCCTGGATAGGAAATCCCCTGGGCAGTTTCTGAGGAGACCGCTCAGAGAGATAGACCACTCTCAGACCTATCCGATGTTAAAATGGGAGAAAAATGTGACTGGTTGTAAACACAGCCCTGCCTAAATTAATTTGCTGTGTTTTTTCTTTTCTATCACTATTAACTAAACAAAAGGTACATGTGACTGTGATAGGAGTTTGTAGTTAGTGGTAATCAATTATTCATAGACCTGTGGACAAGCACCCCTCACCCCTACAACTTTCTACTACCCATAAGATGCACGTATGACCTCAAGTGAAAAGATGTAGCCCAAAGAACAGGCTGAGATCCTGAAAGTTGATATCTATTAGCACGGATTTCATCTCTTGATTCTCATGTTAATTTTTATTGAACTTATTTCGCATGTGAAGAAATGGAGGCCCCAGGAGTTAAGCAAGTTACCTGAGGATAGTTGGTAGTGAGGGGCAGAGTCTGTGTTGGAAGCCAAACTGAAGTTTTCTGATGTTTTCACCCCACCATGATAAAACACCTCCAATGAAACTCCCACCTCCAGCAGGAGAGAAACACTCCCCTCCATCTTTATTCCTTACAGGGACATTTACAGTTCTTCTAGGTTCCTTAGAAGACAATGAAAAGGATATCTCTCCAGAAGGAACATTGGCAACTTTATGGAGGCACTACAAGTTGCTGCTAAAATGAGGGCATCTCAGACACCTTCCTGGCTCCAGCCAGGGTATGTTACAGGTAGTTAGAGAGGCATGAGCAGGGCAGAAGAGGGTTCTTCTCCACCACTCACTAGGAATGTGATGTTTCGACAATTATCACACTGCCTCCCTAAAAATGATAATTCAGCAGCAGGGCGAGAGCGCCAGGGAGAGACAACCTCCTGAGGATCCACAGCTGTTAACCTTAAAGTGTTAATTGAATGCAGACCCTGGAAAAAGCAACTTCCTAGGCATGCAAATTAAGAGACAAAATGGTGAAGTATGACCTCCTGGGTACACTCCACTGGAAACAGGAAGAAAGCCTCAGATGGGCATGCATAGGACTTCCTAAACACACTGCGCATGCTCAATTCCAAAGGGTAAGGATTTCACTGTGCATGCGGGCAGCCCACCCTAAGGGAAGAATCATGGGAAAGAGGTGAGCCTGTGAAGTCCTAGGCTCATGGTTAATCACTGCTCTTGCACTTGTTCTCCAAATTGCCCACTTGGATCTCTTCCAAGTGTTCCTTCCTGTTCTAAGGACTTTTTAATAAAGTTCCACTCCTTCTCTGAAACTTTCCTTGGTCTCTGTTTCTGCTTTATATCCCTCCATCAAATTCTTCTGAGAAGGCAAGAATTGAAGTTGCTGCGGACCCAATGGATTCACCGCCAATAACTCAGACACCTTCTATTGGTAACAGGTAGACCGCCTCCATCAAGGTAGCTGGCTGGGCACATACCCAGGAGGAAATCCTGTCAGCAGAGCACTACTTGGTCCAGTGCATTCCCAGCTCCAGGTCTGGTCACCTGTCCTGAGACTGACCCATACCTTCTGCTCCCCTGAAGCCATGGTCCAGCTTTAATCCTCTCCCTAGATCAGCTCCTCTTCTTTTCTCCACCAAGGATCATCATTCTCTTTATTCTCTCCCTTTAGCCTTCCTTTCTTCTTGAATCCCCTCTCTTCTATATTTGTTGGAAAGCAATTTTGGAGGAACCTTCAAGTTACTAGAGGTCAAAACAAAGACATCTTAAAGAACAAGATGTCAACTCCACTGTGCTAGAAGGTGACAAATATCATCACCAATTACCAGAGGACAATGGTGAGGAGCACATGCTTCAGGTTGGGGAATGGGGAAAGAAGGATTCCAGGTCAGAGCCCAGGAGTTCTCTTTTGGGGGATTGATGATGTTTGGAAACTAAGTGTGACTTGGGATATGAGTACCTCAAGTTTCTAAACAGTTTGCTAGAACCCATTTCTTGTATCCTGAGCACATCTTATGAACTGTGATCTGGGCAGAATTGAAGATATAGTGTTAGTGTTGGGGTAAAGGGGCAAGGCAGGAAAAATGAGATGAAAATGGGGAAGGATTGGGGATACTGGCCCCAAAGTCTGACATGGTCCTCAGATGGTGTCCTAAACCTCCTTCTGGGATAGCTTAGGCAGTCACCTTTGTTATTACAACCAACTCATCATCCCAGTCAATTGACTGACCAGCTGTCTGCTAGTCCACCTTTAGACTAAATATCCATGCCATCTGCCTATCTATCTATTCACACACTTTTGTACTTACCTTCCTGACACTGGGTTAATCTGCCATCTATTTTCTTGGTTAACTGCTGCCTATGCGGTGTCTCTCCCAGTTTCTCTGCCTTCCCTTCGTGCACTTGTTTTCTGATCCAGACCTGTGACCCACCAGGGACTTTCCAAAGTTGCTTCCACAACTTCTGCCCACCTTCCTACCGTTCACTCATAGCTGCAGGGGAAACTCTGTGCTCTGGAAACTCCACCCCAACACGCAAGCCAGAGACTTTCCAGACTAAGAACTCGTCCCTTCTTGCCTTGTCCTTGTAGAGTGTGCCTTGCACACTCTAGGGAGCTCTTCCCCTCCATCACTGGGAAGGTGCATGTTGGATGGGGTTGGAGGCTGAGATGAGTTCCTGCCCTCTTTGTAGAAGAGAATCACTTAATGACCGAAGCTGAATCTGAGAAGCCTGGAGACTTGTTTTGGGGATGAGCCATGGAACTGTTAGATATGAGTTCTAAATTTCCTTCCAAAGAATCAATATGTCGGTATGTTCAATTCTTTGCCTTCTACTTTTAAACTTAACTTCCTCACAAAGCAACCTTTTTCGATCACCTGCTCCATCCTGACTCATTCTGATTACATGCTCCACCCTGACTCATTCCGATTACCTGCCACCTGCTCCACCCGAACTCATTCTCCACCCTGCATAACCATTTTTCCTGCCAAACCACTCACCCCGTCACTCTCTTTAAATTAGCCAATCAGAATTAGTTTAGCCTGGGTGGTCTAACCCTAGCCAATAGGGGAAGGACACAGCAGCAGGGGCCACGTGCATCCAGGATAAGAACTCCTTCCCCTCCCTTGTCCAAGTGTGCTCTTACCATTGCTCCATCTGTGAGGGTGCACCCTTCTGTAGGAGTAACTTGCCTTGCTGAGAATTAAGAGGAAAATTTTATATTCGAGTACTATTTCTTTGGTGGCACCGAAACTTTATTTAAACAGAACAGTTAATCACTCTTTTTTCAGAGGCCACATGGAGAACTGGAAGAGATGTATACCTTAGTCTGAATGGCTCTAGGGTCCCACAGCCCAGGAATGATCATCATCCAACTACGAGACAAAGCACATCTGCACACACTGCCCCCGAGGAGCCTCCTGGTGGCAGAGGGGAAACAGCCTCTGCCAGAATATAGATGCCTGTGATGGAAGTGTTAGTCTGAGAAGAGGACAGGGGCAGCCGAGATCAGGGGCGCTGTATGGACTTTTCATTCTCCTAATCCTTCTCCCTGGGCAGCTCCATCTATGGGCCACATGTGGTGGCTCATATCTCTAACCTCAGCACTTCGGGAGCCGAGGCAGGAGGATTGCTTGAACCCAGGAGTTTGAGACCAGCCTGGGTAACGTAGCAAGACCCTGTCTCTACAAAACATTTAAAAATTAGCCAAGCATAGGGTGTGCACCTGCAGTTCCAGTTACTCGGGAGGCTGAGGTGGGAGGATCACTTGAGCCCAGGAGTTCAAGGCTGCAGTGAGCTATGATCACTATGAGTGCACCACTACACTCCAGCCTGGGCAACAGAGCAAAACCCTGTCTCAAAATAAAAAAGATTATTGAGGGGGTCTGAGACCAAAAAGTTTAACTGCTGATACAGACAATAGAGCAAAGACATTACAAAACAAAATGTGTTGAGCAGCCTCACATATTAACCACTATAAAAGTAAGGAAATCTGAGGTGGGAGGACTGCCTGAGGTGAAAAGTTGGAGACCAGCCTGGGCAACACAGCAAGACCCCATCTCTACAAATTTTTTTTTTTAAACCGCCAGGTGTGGTGGCATGTGCTTGTAGCCCTAGCTACTTGGGAGGCTAAGGCAGGAGGATCTCTTGAGCACAGGAAGTCAAGGTTGTCATGAACTATGATTCTGCCACTGCAACTCCAGCCTGGGTGACAGAGTGGAGAGCCTGTCTCAAAAATAAAAATTTTAAAACAGTAAGAAAATGTCATGCAGGTGTGCCCAAGGACATGTAGTTTCTTCTCAAGCAAGGAAAGTATCTAGAATGCAATAACGTAAAGAGGACAGCACAGGGGTAAACAACGCCAACTTAAGCATCAATGACGTGTCAAGGTTTGTGATGACTGAGAGCAATGCAACCATGATTAAAATTCACCAACTATTCCCAAAAAGCTTACTGTGTAGAAGGAAAGAGAGACACAGCTGAAATTTTGATTGATACATGGGTAGGGAGAAGGGAGATGTATGCATGGGATATAGGAGGTCAGTGGGGAGGGGTCTTGTCCCCTTGGAAAGGGGAGAAGGGGGGCTTCCTGAGAAATGTATGTCTGCGCTGAGTCTTGGAGGATGAGTGGGAATTTGGCTACTGAGTGGGAGAGGCGCTTCGGGAGCAGGGGTTGCCCCAGCACCGGGAAGAGCATGAGCCCAGGCCCAGAGGTATGAACCCGCATGGTGTATTTCAGGAAGGTATGAAAGCGGGCAGAGAAAATGAAAGCAGACTAGAATGGCCCCCCAACAAAATAAATGTAATGTCCCTCAATAAAATTAAGATTTTTAAAAAATCAAGACTTAGCAGCTCTGATAACATCAAGTATCTATTCTTCTTTTAGAAGAGAATAGGCTGGTTCATAATTCAGGTGTATGGAGACAAAGTACCTGTTTTGGAAAACAAAAACGAAACTCTGCTCTCACATCTTGATACAAAGTGAAATGTTCCTGTCACTCCTTTGCCTTCCAGGTGCTTTTCTGTCTTTGTGCAGATTCTGTCTCTGGCTCCCAAGGAATGCCCAGAGCGGCCATTGTGGGCCATTGTGGTCCTTGGGGGCCAAAGGAGGAGGAAAGTTCACCCCCTCAGGGCTCATCAACATGAACCCCCAGGACTCCACGTGGTTCAGAAACGGGTTGTGTGGCTAGGTCACGCCACGCATGTGAAATTGTTTTTTCCACCAAATGAGCTGGTCAGGATGGCTCAATGTTTCAGAAGAGCAGATCAATGCCATTCTGAAAAGTGAGTACACTGTTCTAAATCACATGGGGGCAGGGGAAAACCCTGCTAGTTACGTCAAATAAAAGAGGGGAGGGGAGAGAAAGAGAACACTTTATGATAGTAATCCATGCCCACCTATCCCACCAGCAGCCTTCATCAAAGGTTGAAATGACCCAAAAGATGCTCTGGCATTTACTCAGGGGTCCCCGGGGGGAATCTGGCATTTCCAACAAGCACTGGTAGGTGGCAGAAGAAGCCTCTTTGACACACAGCTGGGACTCTGCTTCCAGTAGAAGCCTGACTGAAACCCCTGGAATTAAAGAGGGTTAGACAAGTCTCCAGACAGGGGACCTGGGTCCCAGAACCCCTCAGAGCGCCAAGGCAGGCTGGCGGCAACCTGGGCAGGTGTCTGCCCAGAACAGCAGGCATCTGAGGCAGTGCAACCGGAGTGAGACTCTGCTGGCAGTCAGGCTGCGGGGCTGAGGCAGTGCGGGGAGAGAGCCAGCTCACACTGGTCTGCAGGTGGAGGGGATTCTGCAAACAGGGAAGAAAACTATCAAGAGAAGTAAGAGGCCCCAGGAGCCAATTGATATGAGACTCTCAGAGCAGAGCAGGGACAAACAGTAAAGGAGCGAATGTTTGAGTACAGAGAGAGAAAGCGAGCCTGTCCTTACAAGTGAAGTGGTTCAGAGACAGGCAGCCTAACACAGGATCTTACTTTAGGGACCTGGGCTTAAATCCCTCTTGCCAGTAATCCAGTGGTATAACTTCACTCACGGGGTTCGGGAACATCTATGGGCCAAGGAACAGGCGGGCAGTGATTGTGCCCAAGGAGGTGTGAGGGTGGGTGTGCGGAGGGAGCCCTATGTCCCCAGGAGGGCCTTGGCTTTCCTTTCCTCGTGTTCCAGGATGATGGTAGTGATGCAGGACAGGCAAGCTCCAAAACTGGGGCTTAGCCCTGGAGAGATTTTTGCTTTGCCTAGGAAAGAATTTAAGGGTGAGCCGATTGTGTTAGCAATCTTTTATTGACTGGTACTGCTCCTTGCAGAGTAGGGCTAACTCATAAGCAGTGCACCTAGAGTTGGCAGTGTACGGACTCTCGTCAACTATATTTATACTCTCAAAAGCCCACTTTTAATAATATGCAAGTTAAAGGATGGGTCAATGCAAATTGAGGGGCAGGTTATTGAGACCTTTCTAGGAAAAGGGCAGTAACTTCCAGGTTGTTGCCATGGAAAGGAGTGGGAATTTCCGAGTTGTTGTCATGGCATTTGTAAACTGTCATGGCGCTTGGTGGGAGTGTCTAATGCAAGTGAGCAATGAGGTCAGCTAGCAATCATTTTGTCACCATCTGCTGGTTTTGTTGTTTTTTTTAACTTTAACCTGTTTGGACTGCATCCTGTTTCGGTTAGCAGGGTTGTGACTAGAAAACAAGTATTCTATTTCAGTAGGAGGCCTGACTGTGAAGGCTTATCAACCTAGTCTCTGAATCCAAGTGGAATCATATGGGACCCCCCCCCCATCAATGGGGCCAGGTATTAGGTGGCTCAGAGATGGCTCTAAGTGGTCTGATGACCTCATAGCCGACCCAATAAATACCGTCTTCATGTTTCTTTCACCATTGTCAATAAATAGGATCCTGTTTCAGTAACAGAGGTACACTTCACACACATTATGCAACACATGCATGTGTACATGAGGCCATTGGAGCATATTTCATTTTCAGAAGGCACCAATGTCGGATATTTGGTCAGAACAAATAACTGCATGTGGAGCGGTTCCCTCAACCTTTTCCCTTTCATGTCTTTTAAGCCCATCAGGCAAATTGAGCTGATAAGCATTGCCCTGATTCCCCGGAGTAACACTGAGAGCTGATTATCTATACAGGCTGCCAGAAGTTAGTACCTGAAACACCACAGCTGCAATCATGGTGACAATTGCTACTAAATTAATATGTGACAGTGCCAGGTGCTGTTCTAAGCTCTTGACAAATAGTAACTCATTTAACTAGTAGTAGCTGATACAGCATTTTATAAGAAACTTAAATCAAAGTGATTCACCTGTGTTTGGAGACGAAAAATAAAAAAGGCATAGTATCAACCCATTACTATTCTGTGCTCTGGGCAGGCCCAGTCCTCCCATGGGAGGCAGTGACGAAGCCACAGGCTGCCAAGATCACTCTACCCCGGCACCCTCCCGAGGCACAAGGAGGATGAACATTTCCCTCTCCCTATGCCCATTTTGTTTAAGCAGCAATGACAATGAGGAGGCCACATGAGACAATGTGGATATAACTCCGGATCTATTACTTACCCTCTTGGTCTGATTAAAAGCAGGAGCAGGAGGTCCCCATGCTTAGAGGCTCTCTCCAACCCATGGCTCCAAATAACTTTTTATGCTTCACTCAAAATCTCCCATTCCTACCAGCCATTCCTTTCTGTGGTACAAAGCCCTCCCTTCCCCATGTTCCCCAACCTTCCCCAAAGGGAACCAAGGGAACCACAAGGTGGCTGAGCTCCAGATGACCACGGGCTTTAATTACCCACTGTCTTTTCCTTGCAATGCCATAGCACAGGGGGTGTCTGCTGCCAGGCTATCCAGGGGAGAACATGCCAGGCAGCTCAATCTAGCTTTTCCTCAGCTTGGTCAGAAGCTCTCAATCTTAATATTGGACAAAGACAAACCCACCACTGAACAGCCTGGGTTTTCTTCTTGTTTGACTCTCTTGTCCTACCATGTTTAGAAGCCTGTGCTGTTTCTCCTAAATGTATCATTCTAGCCCCTTAAATAGAAATTGTGTTAACTGGCATATTCTTGGTGCCTTTCCCTTTCCCTCTGATATAGACTTGACCTCTAAATTTTCCCCTTTGACCAATACCTTCACTCAACACTTACTGATCACAAAACATGTCTAGAAGAAATCGAGAATATGACTAGAAAAGAAGGTTTTGCAAAAAGACTAAAAGTGGGTGGCTTTGGAGGACAACTACTTGCCCCTCCTAGGATTTTACCCTAGCAAGGCTAGTTCCAGGGCTACTAAGGAGAGTGGTCCCAAGGATATTACCTAAGCCAAGTGACCTTTGCCTTGGTGCCCATCCCCTTAGAGGTCTACAGGCCAAAACAGTACAAAAAGCAAGATGGCAGAGTCAGATGGAGATAATGCCTGGTTTAGAGGCAGGAGGGCCAGGATGGTATTGCATGCAGGACAGTAATGTTTACTAAGCATCTGGGAATAGGACTTCGCTTGATCCAAAATGACTGGGAAAAAGCTCCATGGCACATCTGATAAGAAAGGAAATTAACCCAAATCCTTATCTGGGTTCCTGACTAAGAAGAACTGGAAACTCTCATCACTGGTCAAGATGAACCTGTCATCACTGGCCATTCCTATACAAGTACAGAAATGCATGAAAACTTTTAGATCACCTTGTACATAATGTATTGAAAATATAATCAGGAGTTGTGATAGGTGAATGATGGGAGGACCTCTAGTTTGGGCCTAAAGAGATGATGTTTAGGCTAAACTCAGGCAATTAAAAGAAATTAACTGTCTTTCAGGGGCATGCATTGCAGAAGAGGAAGCTTATACAAGTCTCTAAGGCAGGAACAAACTTAGGGGACAGACACAAAGACAACCATGGCTGAAGCCTACTGCCAGGAGGGGTGAGGGAGGCAAGGGCAGGCACTGGCAAGGTCCGCAGGACCCAGGCCCTATGCAGCTTCTAGGGAGAGGGGTCTGGATTTCTTTGCAAATCAGATGGACAGCCCCTGGAAGCTTTTAACCAGGAGGGTGATGTGATCAACTTAGATTAAAAAGACAACCTCCAGATGGTCTATGGAGAACACCCGAAAGGGGAAGAGAATACAAATATGAAGGCCAAGCAAGAGGCTGCTGTAGTACTCCAGGCAGGATGTGATGGTAGCTTTCACCAGGCTGGACATAGTGGAGAGGGAGGAAGCTGCATCCATTTGGGAAATGCTTTAGAGGTCATCTCGACAAGACTTTATGGTGGATTGGATGTGAGTTAAACGGGAGAAGGGAATCGAGGGTGGACCTCTAGGGTTTTGGCCTGAGTGACTCTGGGTGGATGGTGGGGCTAATACAGGAGTTATTAAGAAATAATTTTCAGGCAGATAGAGAAGGTAAAAGGAGTTCTCAGTCAGGGTTTTTCTTTTAATGAAAGCAACCTCCAAACTATTTCTTTTCTAACAGAAAGGTACTTAAAGAGGGCCAGGCGGGCAAGCTTTGATATGCAAATGCACGTCATTAGAAACTGGGTCCACCCAATATGGCAATTCCCACCTTCTTCTTCTTGTCACCAGGTATGCCAAGTGTCATGGGCACCTCCAGATAACTCCACATGTTTGGGACATCATGGCAGGCCCGCATGTGCATACTAAAGGGCTAAGTTGGGATGGCCAGGTTTTTTGCCAGCTACGTGAATGACACACCTGTTCAAACCAATCCCTTGGGCCCTATACAAATCAGACACCGCCTCCTCCAGCCTCCCGTATAACCAACCACTTTTCTGCCACACACAGGGTTTCTCTTTGCTTGGATCCCCCTCCCTCTGTCTCTGTATGGGGGAGCTGTTTTCTTCTTCCTTTCCTCTTTCTTGCCTATTAAATTCTCTGCTCCTTAAAACCACTCCAGACTTGTGTCCATGTCGGTCATCATGAGACCAAGGACTCTGGTGTTCCTCCAGTCATCGGAGCCATATCATTTTGGTGCATTGGCCGGGAATTCATTCAACGGATTGGTGAGTACAGAGTGGAGCAAATCTCAAACTCAAATCTGTCCTTTAATCTCAAGGCTCTCTTCCTGCTATTCTGTCGCCAAACTTTCTTTCTCTTTCTATCCGTGGTCTCTTACTCTCTCTGTGTGTGTAGAATGTGCAGGAATTTTTACAGCCTAAGGGAGTAATCCTGTTAAGCAAGATCAGGAAATGCTGTAGCACTGGGGATATAGCTCAGGAAAATGTCCTTGCAATCTTCTAGGAACAGAGATTCCCACCCCTCCACGCCATCCCCCCAATGCCACCTCCCCCACCACACCACCACCTCCCCACCACGTGGTGAGGTTACTTGCTACTAATTCGCTGGTAAGACATGGTATTCCTAAGACAATAGCGCCACCTAGTGGAAATAGAAATTCTGGCCAGGTACGGTGGCTCACACCTGTAATCCCAGCACTTTGGGAGGCCGTGGCGGACGGATCACATGAGGTACGGAGTTCGAGACCAGCCTGACCAACACGGAGAAACCCCATCTCTACTAAAAATACAAAATTAGCCGAGCGTGGTGGCACATGCCTGTAATCCCAGCTACTCAGGAGGCTGAGGCAGGAGAATCGCTTGAATCTGGGAGGCGGAGTTTGCGGTGAGCCGAGATGGCGCCATTGCACACCAGCCTGGGCAACAAGAGCGAAACTCCGTCTCAAAAAAAAAAAAAAAGAAAAAAAGGAAAAGAAAAAAATCCTCTCCGTAAGACACATTGCTGGTTCTCTGCAGTATATTACAGCTTTCCAACTTTTCCTTTTTGCGCCTTTTCTACTGGAAGCTAGGCTCTGATCTACTTCTGTAAAAGGGAAATTTCTGCCTTTTGCAGTTAGGAGTAAGATGTCTTCTGCAGCCAAATTTTGTCACGATATTGACCCATCAGCAGAAAAATGGCCATTTAGTTCCTATGTTCTTTTAAGGAAACTATTCTGTCTCCGATTAAAATGATATTTAATTAGTAAGGGGATTTTAAGTCCAGAAGTTAACCGGAACCATTTGTCTAAGAGTAAATGCTTTAGCACGGGCCATAGTAGCAGGCAATCTAGCACACTGCCTCCGTTAAAGGAGCCTTGCCCTAAGGCGACACAGTCTCTCCCTAGATCCATTTTTCGGGGAGCCAGGGGGATCACACAGATTTAGGAAGTCAAAGGGGAATCACACAAGGTGGATAAGCTGAAGCTGCATGGGTAAAGTGTGGTTAGTCCCATCACTTAGTTCATCCAGTTCCATGGATGGAGGACCATGGATGGATTGGAGGACCACGCCTACAGCCATGGGTCGCATATTTAACATGGTGCCAGGACCCGGGAAGCAGGGAGGGAAAACAGTGGGAGGATGCTCCCTGTCTCCTCCTCCACCCTGGGTCATACGGAAAGGGAGGAGACTAAAAGGACGCTTTTATTCTTGCTTCTTTTTCTAGATGGGAAACAGATTATCTTTGGCTTGCACCCGCTGGAGTGCACTCTGAAACACTGGAACTTCCTTAACCTCAGGACTTTGAAGAAATAAGTGACTCATTTTCTTTTACACAAGGGCATGGTGTTTTTACAAAACCCGTGCAAGCATTTTAAGATCAACCCAGGTCTTTTAGCAATCACATCGGGCAGGCCCAGGGAGAACAGTTCCCCCAAATTAGAAAAGCAACTTCCAGGGGAACCATCTGAGGATCCCCCTTATTTTGGGCCCCTTCAAGTTCCCTTCTCATTACAAGACCTTAAGCAAATAAAGCGAAACTTAGGCCGATTTTCTAACGACACTGATAGGTATATAGAAGCTTTCCAAAATTTAACTCAGGTGTTTCACCTCACATGGAGGGATGTTATGCTGCTCCTAAACCATACCCTCACAGCAGCTGAAAAGCAGGCAATTCTGCAAGCAGCAGAGATTTCGGGGATGAGCAATATATCTCCTATAATATACCAAAAGGGAAGAACGCAGATAGGGAAAGCGAAAAAATCGTGTAGACTCCTTTCCCACTAGGAAGGGAAGCAGTTCTGGTAAACAACCCCGATTGGGACCCCAATAACTCAAGAGATGAATGGAAAAGGAGGCACATTTTAAGATGTATATTAAAGGGCCTATGGAAGACCAGGGCCAAACCTCTCAATTACGCTAAACTGTCTAGGATAAACCAAAAGCCAGATGAGAATCCTCTAGCCTTTACGGAAAGGCTAAGAGAGGCACTAATAAAGTACACCTCTTTATACCCTGATTCAGTCGAGGGACAGCTCATTCTAAAGGACACGTTTATTACACAGGCAGCTCCCGATATTAAAAGGAATACAAAAGCAGGCTATAAGACCAGATAGCACCTTAGAGAACCTCCTGAAGGTAGCCACTTTGGTCTTTTGTAACAGGAACCAGGAGGAGGCCCAAAAGAAAGAGAGAAAGCTCAAGAGAAGGACAGAGGCTCTAGCAGCTGCTTTGCAGGTTTGCAAAATCCAGGATCCCCAAGGTGCATTCGCTAGTTGCTATTGGTGCGGCAGCCCAGGGCATTTTAAAAAGGAACCCCCAGGAAGCAAGACAAAGCCACCTCAACCCTGTCCAGGCTGTGGCAGAGACCACTGAAGATGGAACTGCCCCCAGAGATGGAGGCCACTGGGTTCAGGACCAGTCTCACAGATGGTCCCGCAGGACTGATGGGTCCTGGGGCTCAAACCCTGGCTTCAGTGGCTCAAACTGCCATTATAGCACAGGAGCCCCGGCTAATTCTGGAAATTAAAGGAAGGAAAGTAGACCTCCTTCTAAACATTAGAGCCAGTCTCTCCCTTTTCTCCTCTCTAATCCAGGCCTCTCCTCTTCCCATAGTACGACCGTAAGGGGTGTCTCAGGAAAAACTCTAATCCAATATTTTTCTCAACCATAGTTGTAGTTAGGAGGACCTATTTACACATGCTTCCAAGTCATAATAACTCTACTAGTCAGAAAAGCCTCCAAGTTAACCCTAGGAAATAATTTAACTGTTTACACTTCACATAATGTGTGAGGATTACTGTCCTCTAGGGGGAGCTCTTAGCTAACAAACAGCTGGTAAAGCAAGAAGTACATAAGGCAGGATAAGCAGTCGTCACTCTTAACGTCTCTCCCCAGGCACAAGTGCTGAATTAGCTGAGCTAATAGCTCTTACAAGAGCACTTAAATTAAGCAAGGGGAAGGTAGCTGCCATTTATACTAACTCCAAGTATGCTTTCTTAACTCTCCATACTCATGCTGCGATTCAAAAGGAAAGGCATTTTCTTACCACTAATGAATCTCCTATAAAATATTGCCAGGAAATTGGCAGGTTATTATCCTCAGTTTTTCTTCCACAAAAAATAGCAGTCATGCGTTATAGGGGACATCAAAAGGAAACAGATAAGGTAGCCAAAGGAAATAGAATGGCTAATCAGGCAAAGCTAAGTCAGAGGCAAGGAAGCTTTAAGGCATTAATGCACTTCAAGCCCTTCTAATCTAGGAAGGCTCCAAAAAAGAAATTAAACATCAGTATTCCCCTACAGAAATAAAATAGGATCACCTTTATTTAACCCAGGAAATTTGGTATTAGTACAAACTCTCATCTCTGTCTCCTTCCCTAAGCCAAGCTGGGAAGGGCCCTACACTGTTCTTCTTTCAACCCCCTCGGCAGTAAAAGTTACAGGAATCGACTTCTAAATACATCACACTCAAGTCAAAGCCTGAAGAGCTGAGGGAGCAGCCCCTAACAGCCCAGAGAAATATCCTGAATATCAATGCGGAGAAAGAGATCTTTTTCTTTTTCTTGTTGTTGTTGTTGTTGTTCTTGTTGTTGTTGTTGTTTTTGAGACGGAGGCTCCCTGTCGCCCAGGCTGGAGTGCAGTGGCGCGATCTCCGCTCACTGCAGGCTCCGCCCCACGGTTCACGCCATTCTCCTGCCTCAGCCTCCGGAGTACCTGGGACCACAGGCGCCCATCACCACGCCCGGCTAATTTTTTTTTTTGTATTTTTAGTACAGACGGGGTTTCACCGTGTTAGCCAGGATGGTCTCGATCTCCTGACCTCGTGATCCGCCCGCCTTGGCCTCCCAAAGTGCTGGGATTACAGGCGCGAGCCACCGCGCCGGGCCAGAAAGAGAAGATTTTAAGCTGAAAATCATAAAAGATAAGTAACTGAGTGAGGGCTACTCATCTTACTCAGTCCCACTCCTGCCTCACCAGATACTTTTTGCTATTTCTACCCTTTACTCTCAAAGTTCACCACCAAATATTAAAACTTCTTTTTAAAGCATATTTGCAGGCAGATTTTAATTATTCATAGAATCGCATTTGTAACTTTGTAGCTCCCCAAAGAGAAATGTTATATCTTGGTAAGTAAAGTTTTAAATGGAAATTATTCACTATGCCACTCTTGTAAGAACTGTTATACTCACGCTACTATTTACAATAGAACTACACACTGTAGCACCCAAGATGTGGAATTCTGGTTGTAAAATTCTAATTGCTGTAATATTTTGCCTAATTATCAACCTTATAACAGGATTGATAGTTGCAGGAAAGATTTAGTCAAAATTGTGTCGCTTATAGCAGGAGTAATAGTTGTGGATAAGAAGCAAGGATGAAAGTTTTACTATCATTACGTTTAATAGGACTTTTTCTGAAGGTTGGTAATATAATGTGCTCTAAGCTATAAAGAGAAGATTATAAAGGAAGATTTTATGTAAGAAAAGATTTTCATTGGTAAATACTTGTCCTAAAAGGAAATGACTGGTTGTTTAAAGGATGAATGCTTAGGGCAAGTCAGAAAGTTTAAGTATGTTGTAAGAGGGTCTGTGAAAGTCATGAAATTATTAAAGGAAAGGAATTGTCAAGATTAACATTAAAGTTATTTTAGCCACCCACTAATGTATTTCTCCCAAGCATATTGCAAGTTAGGAAAATGGCCTAAGCTTAAAGTTATTCTCTAATGGCAAGTCAAAGGGGAAATGTATGGTTTTCTCAAGGAAAATGTTTCTTTTATATTAATGTTTCTGGTAATGTACAGCGAGATACTGGTATTGCAATCCATGGTGTAACTAATAGGTATGAAACTCAGGGTCTATAGGACCCCCACTCACGGTGGTAATCTTAATACTCACATTCTAACCCTATATTTTAAATTTTCTTATAAAATTTATCTCTTTTCACCTGGAAGCAATCAAACTCCAAACGGTGCTGCGAGCAAAGCCACACGTGTTTGAAATGCTTGTAAAGAAATAGCACTTGAGCATCAGTTTATTTAGTAAGGCCATTTTTACTTCTTGCAGAAAGGGTACACTCGCCAGCAGTTTTGCCAGGAGAGTACACTGAACAAAGGAGACAGGGTCATTTATAACCTGACGCGTCCACCCTACTGCTGTGTCCAGTTTCCAATAGCTGGAATGGGACCTCACATTCTGTATTTGTCCCGATTGGCTAGCAACTTAGAACTTTTTAAAAGAGGCAAAGGTAGAGGAGAACAAAAGAAGGAGGAAGTAACTTGTGGAATGCTGGGAAAGGTAAAAACACTTTTAAATAAGGAAGAGGAACAGACTATGATCTAATGCTTGCTTGGACCAGTATAAGCATGCCAGGGCAAATATTTAGGCTAAATTGTGGGAGCTAAGAACATAAATTACATTGATTTCTTTATTATGGCTAGCAGATATTTAAGAATGTTAGCACAGGTCTTTGAATAAATTTTGCTTTTAAGAGAAGTTACTATTTATTTCTTATTAGACGGGGCGGAAAGTCTTTGAAGAGGAACCTCTACTTTACTTTTTACACATGGTCACGCCATTCTTCCAAGAACCCTTAGATAAACCTCAGGAGAAGGCACAACTGCTGTTCCCCACACAATACCCCTTTTCAGCAGGAAGTAGCCAGAAAGAATCGCCATCCAACACCCCCTGACAGCAGTTAGGTTTGCTTCTCTTGAGCGGGGGAATGATACAGGAGTTACTAAGAAATAATTTTTAGGCAGATAGAAAGGGTAAAAGGAATTCTCGGTAAGGCTTTTTCTTTTAATAAAAGCAACCCCAGACCTTTTCTTTTCTTTTTGAGACAGTCTCACTCTGTCGCCCAGGCTGGAGTGCAATGGTGCAATCTGGGCTCACTGTAACCTCTGCCTCCCTGGTTCAAGTGATTCTCCTGTCTCAGCCTCCCATGTAGCTAGGATTATAGGTGCCCGCCACCAAGCCTGGCTAATTTTTTTTTTTGTATTTTTAGTAGAGATGGGGTTTCACCATGTTAGCCAGGCTGATCTCAAACTCCTGACCTCAAGTGATCCGCCTACCTCAGCCTCCCAAAGTGCTAGGATTACAGGCATCAGCCACCGCACCTGGCCAAATCATTTCTTTTCTAACAGAAAGGCAAATTAAAGGGCCAGGCTGGCAAGCTTTGATATGCAAACGCAGGCCATTAGAAGCTGAGTCCACCCAATATGGTGATTCGTGCCTTCTTCTTGTCACCAGGTATGCCAAGTGTCATGGCCACCTCCAGGTAACTGCATGTGTTCAGGACATCAGAGCGGCCCACATTTGCACATTAAAAGGATAAGGTGGGAGGGCCGGGTTTTTCACGGGCTTCGTGAATGACACACCTGGTCAAACCAATCCCCTGGGCCCTCTGTGGGCGGCAAGCCACCCAGGTGACGAGGCAAGAGACTAAAAGCACAAGCTATTCCAGTATAATAAAGAAAATACTTAAAATAAGAATAGTTATATTAGGCATAGAATATAGATATGATTATATATGAATATTACTAATCATTAGTTTATAGCATTACTCTTTATTCTAATATTATAATAATCTTTGTTCTACAATTATAACCTAGGAAAAACCAGGACATACAGAGATAGGAGCTGAAGGGACATGGTGAGAAGTGACCAGAAGACTAGTGTGAGCCCTCTGTCACACCCGGACAGGGCCACTAGAGGGCTCCTTGGTCTAGTGGTAACGCTAGTGCCTGGGAAGGCACCCGTTACTTAGCAGATCGGGAAAGGGAGTCTCCCTTTCCCCGGTGGAGTTAGAGAAGACTCTGCTCCACCACCTCTTGTGGAAGGCCTGACATCAGTCAGGCCCGCCCGCAGCCATCCGGAGACCTAAACGTCTCGCTGTGATGCTGTGCTTCAGAGGTCACGCTCCTGTTTCACTTTCATGTTCTGCTCTGTACACCTGGCTCCGCCTTCTAGATAGCAATAGCAGAATTAGTGAAAGTATTAAAGTCTTTGATCTTTCTGAGAAGAGCATAGAAGAAATAATGACGTAAGCTGTCCTCTCTCCAGCTCGGCTACCTAAAAGGGAAAGGCCCCCTGTCCGGTGGACACGTGACTCACATGACCTTATTAATCACTGGAGATGACTCACACTCCTTACCCTGCCCCTTTGCCTTGTACACAATAAATAACAGCGCGACCAGGCATTCGGGGCCACTGCCAGTCTCCACATCTAGGTGGTAGTGGTCCCCCGGGCCCAGCTGTCTTTTCTTCTATCTCTTTGTCTTGTGTCTTTATTTCTACGACCTCTCATCTCCGCACACCAGGAGAAAAACCCACAGACCCAGTAGGGCTGGACCCTACAGCTCTATGCAAATCAGATACTGCCTCCTCCAGCCTCCCATATAACCGACCACTTTTCTGCCCTCCCTCTGTCTCTGTACAGGGGAGCTGTTCTCTTCTTTCTTTCTTCTTTCTTCTTTCTTGCCTATTAAATTATCCGCTCCTTAAACCACTCCGCATGTGTCCATGTCATTTTATCTAAATCAGCATGAGACCAAGGACCTGATGTTCCTCCAGTCATTGGAGCCATATCAGGGCCATTTACTTTGATAGAGAGACAAAGCTGGTTTAGTGATGGATAGGGGGCTTAGTCATTAAGGAACTCATTTTTGGACATGGTGAATTTGGGTATTAATAGCTTATAAAATGTAATGCTATCAGATCCATAACACTTTCCAGGAACTGTGGCTTTTTCACTGGGGTTTTAAGCTCCTCTGGGAAAACGAGGGGCAATGTTGGGCAGGAAGAACTCCCACCCTCCAGGAAGCCTGAGTGGACCATCCCTTCCCCAAAAGCAGGCTTCCTATCAAAGCTGCGTTGTCCTTTTCATCCTTTCTCCCTGCATGCCTCCATCCAAAAATAGAAGTGTGTTACCCTGCGGGTTCACTGAGCCTCCACATAACCACACATGTCAAAATCATGGAACACTGAGGAGGCCTTCTCAAAATATTTTGGAATTATCTACATTCAGTTTTAGTTTTTAAAACTTTAAAAAAATGCAATTGTACTTTAACTCACCTTACATCCTGATAGCATTATAAATTTGAGGATAATTTTAGAAAATGGAGATTATTTGTAATTCCCATGATATACTTTCTGGGAAATATAAGTAGTAAATTTGCATTTAATGATTAATTCCACTACTCCCTTAAAAACATAATATCTATGAGCAGTTCAGCAGTGAGGGACATTTAAAATAGAAAAAAAATCCTCCGTTAATATTTTTATGTTCCACAGTAGTAAAAAGGTGAAAGTTATTTGTTGGTCTCAATAAACGATGCTTGATCTTTTAAAAATCATTACTAAGTGTTTGATCTTAATATATTCCAAAAAGCTTCTCCTATAACTGTGCCTGGTTTCTGAAACAGATTCCAAGGAGACTATCACCACCAAAAGACTGCTCAACAACCACCCAATCTACGTTGTCACCCTTCTTTGATTGGATATTTCAATCAGTAAAAAGTATAGAGCACATTATTCATATATGTGTGTGTATATATGTATGTACATGTATACATACATATACATATACGTACACATACACATACATGTGTATGTATATGTATGCATACATATACATACATATACATATACAGACATATATACACATACATATATTCACACACACAGACATATACATATTTTTTTTGGATGGGGCAGGGGGCCTTTACTTGGGTGATAAGGTGGTCTGTGAAGGGCTTTAAGGGAAGGTCTCATCTGATCACATTGGCTTTCTGGTTGTGTCTTGAAGAATGGGTCAGAGAATCAGGAGGCTGTGGCTGCTGCAGGGGAGGGGTGAGGGGGGCCCAGGGCTAACAGTTGTGGGGTCCAGTAAAGGGTGCAAGTAGAGGCCGGCAGGTCATACATCCCACTGCCAAGACCAGCCGCCTCTCGACCTGACATCACCCCTGGAACCAAAAAGGGGAAAACATGTCCTTCCTGCCTCTGTCTGTGGTAAGTGGGCCCCTCCAGGAGGCAGGGCTGCAGGCAGCATCCCCGTGACCCGGGTAGAAGGGCAGAACTGCGCCTGGGGCTCGCTGCTGTCTGCAAGGTCCAGGAGGGAGGAGGGTGCAGACACAGGCCCTATTTCTGACCCCGCAGGGCCAGGAGCGCTGGAGCCCTAGGAGGGTCTGATCTACCTGTCGCCCACCCATGAGGTGCATGAGTGCAAAGGTGTGGGAAACCGCCAGACTCCTGAGGCCCTGTGGGGTCGCAAGGCACCAGGACCCCTGGATATGGCTTAACTGGGTTGCAGGGAGAGGGCGGGCTTGGGAAGGGCAGCCTTTAGCCAAGGGATTCTCAGGGAACCGACATGCTTGTCTGAGCTCCGGGCCGGGTCCACCTCCGCTGGCTGGACAGCTGCCTCCACACCCAGACAGACCCCGTGGGGCACAGCGTCCCGCAGGGCTCCACAGTACCCCGCTTTCCAGCGCCCCTGGAACCCCTGCCCAGCCCACGAGGTACAGATTCTGTCATTCTCACTGAGTCCTCTGGACCCTGCTAGACTAGCCCAAGGTCACACAGCCAGACAGCGGAGGAGGTATTTCTTTCTATATAATACATGTATGTACTTACTAATATATTCACTATGAAACAAATGCTTTTTAAAATATGCTATAAAAACTAAAAAGTTCTTAACATATTCACCTTTAGTTATTAATTACATAAAAATGTCTGCTCTCATTAAAATATTATCCATAATCATATTTGTAGTGAGAGCAATGTGGTAGAATTTGCACCTTTTTAAAAAACCTTGGAATTATTCTTTGAGATACATCAATTCAAATATCTCAAATACCAGACTTTTCATACATCAATTCAAAAGTTCAATTTCTTTTTTTTTTTCGAAAGTTTCATTTATATTCAGGCTTGCTTTTAATGGTTGTCAGAGCTGAAAAAGATAACTGGCAAAGGCACAATGTGCACACTGAACAAAGTGTATTGTTAGTAAGAGGAAGAAATCCATATCTTAAGAGAATTGGGGGCCAGGCTCACTCCTGTAATCCCAGCACTTTGGGAGGCCGAGGCTGGTGGATCACCTGAGGTCAGGAGTTCGAGACCAGCCTGGCCAACATGGCAAAACCCCATCTCTACTAAAAATACAAAAAAAAAAAAAAAAAAAATTAGCCAGGCATGGTGGAAGGTGCCTGTAATCCCAGCTACTCAGTAGGCTGAGGCAGGGGAATCTCTTGAAACTGGGAGGCAGAGGTTGCAGTGAGCTGAGATCACACCACTGTACTCCAGCTGGGACTACAGAGTGAGACTCAGTCTCAAAAAAAATTAATTTAATTAAAAAATTAAAAATAAAAAGAGAATTTGGGGGTTTTAAGACAACTTCTTGTTGGATCCAATTAGGTCTTCATTGTTTTTAGCTAATAGTGACACTGATTCAGAGATTATTCCAGGCACAGGAGGGTTGATTCTGACATTCGCTTGCTGTTTTCTTGTCTTTGTATAATTACTGTTCTCTTCAACCTACCCATTTCTTTGCAGAAATCTTTATTTTAATTTCTGGGATACATGTGCAGGATGTGCAGGTTTGTTACTTAGGTAAATGTGTGCCATGGTGGTTCTTTGCAGGAATCTTTAAGTCACTCATCCATTTCATGAGGGTTAGTTTAGTTCAAACCAGATAATACATTTTAATGGAGCATGAGCAAACTGCAAAACATTGCAATATGAAAGCTAACAAAGTAGTCAGGAGGCCATTGTCCACACTTTTGCATAATGAACCCCCTCCTTCCCTCAGTAACATCTATGTGCCATGACTGCCTGATGTAGGGAACCAGTCACTATCCAGATAGATTTTTTTAAAGATAGCATAATTATCCATATAAAGTCTAATATCTTCATTTTGCACCTTGGTGGCCTGTGTGGGTACCCCCATATAAAGACCAATGTATTTGTTTTCCAGATGCAGAAAGATGAGGCACAGAGAATTGGCCACCTGCTCCAGGTCCCATAATTAAACATTACTGTCAGGATTAGAGTCCTGGGGTCCAAACACCCAGTGCTCTCTCCACACTACCATGGTGCCCAATTCATATTCCTGCCATGACTACCCTTTCCATTTCTGGCCCTGTTTGAAGCCCCTAATTCCCACTGAAAACAATAAATGCTCTAAAATTAAGGCAACAATTTCACACAGTAGAGCAAATGGGTGGCTGAGAGTGAATTTACCCAGCAGCAAAGCCAGTGTAGAAGGCACCATTTTTTGGTTACCATCAGATTAAGGTTGGGCCCCAGAGGGTCACCCCATCTTTGTTTCTCTTGTGAACCCCTCTGAGTCAAATGGTAACAATAGTTGTTGTAATTGTAAGTTATAACATTGAATTAGCGACTATTGAAAAGTGTAAATTATAATAGCAATTGTTGAGAATGAACCCTGTAACGGTGAGCTAACAAAGGAGTTTTATGCTAGTGAGTCCATCAAGAAGGACATTGGGGCCAGGGGCAGAGGTTTGTGCCTGTAATCCCAACAATTTGGGAGGCCCAGGCAGGCAGATCACTCGAGCTCAGGAGTTCAAGACCAGCCTGGCTAACCTGATGAAACCCCATCTCTACTAAAAATACAAAAATTAACAGGGCATTGTGGCATGCACCTGTAGTCTCAGCTACTCTGGATGCTGAGGTGGGTGAATGGCTTGAACCCAGGAGGCAGAGGTTGCAGCGAGCCGAGATCATCATGCCGCCGCACCTGCACTCCAGCCTGGACGACAGAACAAAACTCCATCTCAAAAAAAAAAAAAAAAAGACATTGGGATGTAAGCTGAGAAAGGGAGAGTCTAAGGTTTTAGAAAAATAAGGAAGTTATTTTAAAATACATTACTTTTGTTTCTTTGTTTGTTTTAAATGGATTACAGAACAATCAACAAAGCAGCCAGGTGTGTTGATGACAGCTCTCAAGCTTTCACAAGGTGTAATAGGACGGATGAGCCCATTCCATTGAGACTAGCACTACCCAGGAGAGCCAGGAAGGTAAAGAGACCACCTACAACAGTGTAATCCGTCCAAATAAGGACATCAAGTCAAATGGATGGAGGGAGACAGTAAATTTAAAACATTAAATTTTAAGTAAAAACAAGTCATACACTTCATGTCTAAAACACCAAAAGCAATGGCAACAAAAGCCAACATTGACAAATTGGATCTAATTAAACTAAAGAGCTTCTGCACAGCAAAAGAAACTACCATCAGAGTGAACAGGCAACCTACAGAATGGGAGAAAACTTTTGCAACCTACTCATCTGACAAGGGCTAATATCCAGAATCTAAAATGAACTCAAACAAATTTATAAGAAAAAAACAAACAACCCCATCAAAAAGTGGGCAAAGGATGTGAAGAGACACTTCTCAAAAGAAGACATTTATGCAGACAAAAAACACATGAAAAAATGCTCATCATCACTGGCCATCGGAGAAATGCAAATCAAAATCACAATGAGATACCATCTCACATCAGTTAGAATGGCAATCATTACAAAGTCAGGAAACAACAGGTGCTGGAGAGGATGTGGAGAAATAGGAACACTTTTACACTGTTGGTGGGACTGTAAACTAGTTCAACCATTGTGGAAGTCGGTGTGGCGATTCCTCAGGGATCTAGAACTAGAAATCCCATTTGACCCAGCCATCCCATTACTGGATATATACCCAAAGGATTATAAATCATGCTGCTATAAAGACACATGCACACGTATGTTTATTGCGGCACTATTCACAATAGCAAAGTCTTGGAACCAACCTAAATGTCCAACAATGATAGACTGAATTAAGAAAATGTGGCACATATACACCATGGAATACTATGCAGCCATAAAAAATGATGAGTTCATGTCCTTTGTAGGGACATGGATGAAACTGGAAACCATCATTCTCAGCAAACTATCGCAAGGACAAAAAACCAACACCGCATGTTCTCACTCATAGGTGGGAGTTGAACAATGAGAACACATGGACACAGGAAGGGGAACATCACACACCGGGGACTGTTGTGGGGTGGGGGGAGTGGGGAGAGGTAGCATTAGGAGATATACCTAATGCTAAATGACGAGTTAATAGGTGCAGCACACCAACATGGCACATGTATACATGTGTAACAAACCTGCACGTTATGCACATGTACCCTAAAACATGTACCCTAAAGTATAATAATAATATAAATAAATAAATAAATAAATACCATACTGTTTTCACTTTAAAAAAAAAAAGAAATAGAACCATATTGATTCTCTGAAATCTTTTTTTCTCTTGGCAAGTCAAACTGTAAAAATAAACTGGAAAAATATTTTTACCCGAAAAAAAAAAAGTCATACAAAGTTGAGATAAGATGTAGAATAGAGTTAATTTATTTTCACGGTTTTTATTATCTAGATTGCAGAAAGAATTGAATGTGAATGCATGAAATTTAAATGCACATCAAAAAGCATGCAGGGTACATCAAATTAAGAGGCATGTGACAAACTGATATTTTCGCAAATATTTTCTATAGAAATTAATGTTTTTATTTTCAATTGTATTTATTTATTTTTCTGCTTTCCAACTTTTATTTTAGGTTCAAGGGGTGCACATGCAGGTTTGTTACATGGGTAAATTGCGTGTCATTGGGGTTTGTTGCACAGATAATTTTGTCACCCAGGTAATCAGCATAACATCCAATAGGCATTTTTTCGTTCCTCACCCTCTTTCCGCCCTTCACCCTCAAGTAGGCCCGTGTGTCTATTGAGGAGTTAATGTTTTAAAAATATATCTTGCAAATCAATGTGAAAAACATTAACATCCAGTGGAAATATGGGCGAAGTTCCTGAACAGAAAAATCACAGAAATTAATTTAAAATATTGTTTAAAATTAATCTCCCATTTGTAAAAAGAAAGGAAATTAAATACATAATAAATAAATGCTCATCATTTTTAAAGATATTTTAATGCCGAAAAAAGTAATCTCTGAATCCCAAAGGGTAAAGAACATCCCCACAAATAGAGTACGCTTAGCTTTGTGCAAACTCACCACTCTGTTCTTGTAGTTCTTGTTTCACTGTTAGTCAGTGACTGAAACCAGTCTGTGGGTCACTATTTGAAGCACTGACCTGGAAAGTTCTGAGTGGATAGGTAAGCCTGTGCAAACGGATGGAGGAGACCCAATCTGTGCAAACACTCAGGATTGCTGGGATATCAAAGGAGGTCACCGAGGGTGCATTTGTCTGATGGCCTTGGAGCCTCCTGGGAGAAAGAGAATCAGCAAGAGGACTTTGGGACTACCCGCCTTGCCCCTGGACCCTAGAATGAAAGGGCTCTACCAAGAGACCATGTGAATATCATGGCGGATGGGGAAGCCAGCCTGTGAAAGCAGGTGTGTTATGAAGAACGCCATGCCTTGGAGGGCAGCAAACTGTCAGGGGGCTGACAGCCAGACCCCACATGCTCTAAGTTCTTCAACAGAGGAGGCTAACAGGACAAGGCACTTGAGAGTTACAATCACTGAGCCTCAAGGCCATCTAGGAAAATGACCACATAGCCCTTAAGGACTGCCAGTGGTTCTCGTCACTTCACACAGGGGGTGGCAGTGGCTGCAGCCTGCCAGCCACATGTCAGAGTGTAGGGCGCCTGACTAAACCAGAGAGGTTTCTGCATCTGGAAAACAAAAAGATTGTCTCTACAAATAGGAGATGGTCCTTGCATGAGGACCTCGCATAAGACCCCTTCACCAAAGCAGCCTCCCTCCACTTCTCTGAACACAACCCCACCTAGGATAAGCAGGACCCCTCAAGGTGTGTTGCTGGCAGAGCAGAGGCAGGAGGTCCACCTCCTTCCTAGGGCTGCCCAAGGACTTCCCCAGGCTCTACCTTCAGAGGAGGCCGTGCCTTTGTCTGCAGGTATTGTAGACTTTGGAGCAGCTGGATCTGCATTTTGCCAATGACTTCCTCCTGGGAGCCCCAAGTCCTATAAGAGTCCTATTCTTCAATTACAGCAGTGGGAATTCTGACAAGATGAAGATTTCCAAACCCCAAGTTACTGCTAGAACTAATTGGACAGTCACTGTATGTCACACCCTTTCTTAGAAACACTCGGTGTCCATCATTCAGTCCTTACTGCGTGTGTCACTGTGAGCTGCTTGCTGCCTTCACTTTGCAGCTGAAGGCAGTGAGGCTGGGGGACCTCAGAGAACATCCCTAAGGTCATACAGTAAGTGGCTAAGTTGAGATTCAGACCGAGGTCTATCCACTCGCAAGGCCCCTGTTTTAAGCACACTACACTCCCAGCAAGAGTAGCTAAGGGAAAAAAAAAAACCACCTAGAAACAGCCTGAATGAACATCAGAAGGGAAATGATTAAACTTCACAATACCTGTCCTATGTAATTGAATGCAGCTATTATAAAGAAGTGAGCTAGTTTTATATACGTTAACTTGGAAACTTTCTATGTTGTATGGTTAAGGAGGGAAAAGAACAAAGTTGCAAAAAGATACATCATACTATTTCATTTTTTTTTTTTTGATAAAAGTTTTACATGTGTGGATATGTTTCTAGAAGCATGGAAAACTTATGGAAGCCAATAATGCAACCTCTGGAGTTACAGGGGCGGGCCACCGGACCCCTGAGCTTAATAACCGGAAGATTTGAGAAAGGCGTGCGGCGGGCAAAGATCGCAGAAAGAGTGGAGGACTGGTGCCACTCAGACACCTTAGCTCGCTGAGAGAAATGGAGACGGCCTCCAGGACATCTTAGGACCCTGGCTGATTCCGAGAATCACAAATCACATCTCTGAAAAAAGTGAGAACTTCATTCTTTCATTCAGTGCAAAAATGTTTACTGAACACCTACTATGTGCCAGACACAACCGAGATGCTGGTGATATGATGCAGACAAAGTAGGCTCAGATCCCTGGCCGGGAAGAATTCACGTACTATTTGTGCATTCTAGTCAGTCCGTCTGCTCCTCCTACATTGCCTCTGCCACCTCAACTCTGTCTCCCCCAACCCCCAACACACACACAGAGTACAATATTTGGCTGATTCATCTTGCTATGTTCAATGTTTTTCTTTCCAAGAAAAAAGTTGAACAAAATGAGAAAGCAACAGATTGGTAAGGCATTAGAGCTTGGTGATCTCAGATAACCCCACCCTTCAGTGAGGGGCTGCCCATGGAATTAACTACATATACGACAACACCTAAAATCCTGCAAAGCTTAGCCATATCAGCATTTTATGGAATAGAAAAAAAGATCAAGTCCCTGTCCTTCAAAGCTTGTACTCATGAGAAATAAGATAGCAGCACCAGGCCGGGTGCAGTGGCTCACGCCTGTAATCCCAGCACTTTGGGAGGCCAAGGCAGGCAGATCACAAGGTCAGGAGTTCAAGACCAGCCTGGCCAACATAGTGAAACCCTGTCTGTACTAAAAATACAAAAATTAGCAGGGCATGGTGGCGGGCTCCTGTAGTCCCAGCTACTTGGGAGGCTGAGGCAGGAGAATCACTTGAACCCGGGAGGCAGAGGTTGCAGTGAGCCAAGACCACACCATTGCACTCCAGCCTGGGTGACAGAGTGAGACTCTGTCTCAAAAAAAATAAAATAAAAAGATAGCAGCACCAAACATATATTTCCTTTTCTATATTGTGTATACTAAAGTTGTTTTGGAAAGTGGAAGAGGATGAGTTTGCTTGTCAAATTATAATACGTTCCTGAGGAGGGCAATGAGAATCGAAAGCCAAAAATTAGTGTAGGCTTCCAAATAAAGTAGGTTCAGGGTGCTACCTTAATGAGGATTCTTGACAGCCCACCGTGTAAACAGCAGGGATAATGTTATGAAGGTGAAATAAGTACACCCACAAAAAGCGACAAGATCTAAGAATAAGTAGGATAAAAAGACACAGATCTTAGTCCATTTAGGCTGCTAAAACAACATGCCCTCAACTGGGTAGCTCATAAACAACGGAAATTTATTTCTCACTGTTCTGGAGGCTGAGAAGTCCAGGATCAAGATGCCAGCCGATTTACTGTCCGGTGAGGACCTGCTTTCTGATTCATAGATGGTGCCTTCTAACTGTGTTCTCACATGGCGGAAGGGGCTGGCTAGCTCTCTGGGGTCTCTTTTACAAGGGTACTAATTGCATTCATGAGAGGCCAGCCCTCATGACCTATTCACCTCCCAAAGGCCCTACCTCCTTATACTATCACCTTAGCAGTTAGGATTTCAATGATGAGTTTGGGGGGACACAAATATTCAGACCATAGCAACATTGATGAGAAGATCCACAGAAATCCTGGAATTCGGTGAGGAATAAATCAAAGTATAGTACCTTTGGTAGTTTCCATCTATGTCGAGAAATTTAATAATGAGAACTTCATCCTAAAGCATACAGGTCCTGGCATCTTGTCCATGGCAAATGCTGGACCCATCACAAACAGTTCCCAGTTTTTCATCTGCACTGCCAAGACTCAGTGGTTGCATGGCAAGGATGTGGTCTTTGGCAAGGTGAAAGAAGGCATGAATATTGTGGAGGCCATGAAGCGCTTTGGGTCCAGTGGCAAGACCAGCAAGAAGATCACCATTGCTGACTGTGGATAACTCTAATAAGTTTGACTTGTGTTTTATCTTAACCACCAGACCATTCCATCTGTAGCTCAGTAGAGCACCCCTCCACCCCATTTGCTCACAGTATCCTATAATCTTTGTGCTCTCACTGCAATTCCTTTGGGTTCCATGTTTTGTTTCCATCCATGCCTAGCTGGATTGCAAAGTTAAGTTTATAATTATGAAATAAAAACTAAATAACAAAAATAATAATAATAATGCAACCTCAACATTGAGTACCTCAGGGAGGTGTGGTTGAAGGGGTAAGGGGGTGGCCTTCCAGCTTAACACTTAAAATGTTAGAACAAGAATACTTCATTTTCATAATCTAAAAGAAAAAAGAAGACCTTTATTTTTGTCTACTTTGGACACAGTAGGAGGTGAGTAAATGTTTGCTGAATTGAATCAAATTGAACCTACTGAATCTCCCCGTCCGCTGGGACACTAGCTGGGCAGGCTGCCCAGAAGCAGGAATGCAGAGCCTGTGCGTCCAAAGATAAAGTATCGCTCTGCCACAGAGGCTGAGGCATCCCTGGAGAGAAAGAACAGCCTTGCCTGCTAGATTCATTTCTACCATCACCCAGGCCTCCATCCTTACTGGGAGATGCTGGAAATAGCTTCACCTTGCTTCTTAACTGACTCATGGCTTTTGCGTTTCCAGGCAGCAAAATCATATTAGCAGCCCCAAAACCCAATAAGGACCATGTACCCAGTCAAAACTTCTCAACACAAAAGGAGACAAGTAAGACTGGTCAGCTGCATTCTGGTCTCCTCTTAGAAAAATCACTGGTGGCATGAAATCTTTAGTTTATTAACAGACATCTCCTGCATTCTGACAATAGTAGCTCATTCAAAAACAAAAAAAGAAGAAGAAAGCAAATGGTGACCCAGGTTCTGAGGGATGAAACCAAAATTTTATCACAGTAGCTCAGCGCCTGGCTCACTTGGGGCTGCTGGGCAGTGAAAAGATGGAGAACTTTTGACTTTCCAAGGCATGGACTTGAAAGTCACCCACTGTTTCTGTGGTTACTGTATTAAGGCGTTTTAAAAGCAAGTGAGTGCCAAAGATGAAGGTGATGGAGATGCGCAACAAGAAAAGCTGAATCTTTCTCCAGGACTTAGATGAACTCAGTGTGTAACTGGATCCTAACCATCTTCACACAGTCAGGATGGGGAGGGGGATATTTTTACTTATTTTATAAGTAGGTGAGCAGAGCCTGAGGCACCCAGTAACATTCACGCAAAGTCACAGGGCAACTGAGGCCAAGCCTTCACCCAACCTCATCACAGGTGTGAACTCTCCATTCTGAACACATGCCATCCTCCCCTAACCCCCAAAATCATTCCTCCTAAGGAGGAATAAATTGGATATTGGGCCTCAGTTTCTTTGCGGATGCAGGGTGTCATCCAGGACCAATCCTTCATTTTCCTGCAGATGAAATACATCAAGCTTAACTCCCATCCTAGGACTAGGAAAGGACTCACAAGCCTGTGTGGTTCAGAGAAGGCGCAGATCAAAGCACATGACATTGTCATTTCTACAGCCATATGGCACTTGACAGATTTAAAAGCATTTATGCACGTTTAACTTCATGAACCTCACAACCTATCCCCCCTTCCCTTGAGTAGGCAGGACTGGCCTAATTTTTCCTGTTTAATAGCAGAGACTCAAACAGCTGGGAACAGGCAGAGTAAAGACAAGAAAGTCTTCTATTCCCCAATCCAATGCTCTTTCTGCAGTGCTTAAAGAGCAAAGCAAAGCAAACTTCTCCAGAGATGCCTCTGCCTCATGACCTTTGCCTGGCCTGAAAGTGAAGAATTCCACTGGGCTACAGTAGTCAAGCACCCTGTTGGGAACATTTCCTCCTGAGCCCCCCCAGTCAGTCCTGCCTTTTAATCATGGCCTCATGTAAACCCTTGCACCCTGTGGGAGTCTCAGCTGGGATCTGAGTTTTTTAAAAAATGGGGCTTCATCCATGTTCACCGTCCCCCACAACACACACGTCCCCTGAACACACATCCTGATCAGTGGCTTCTGGGCACCAGTGTCTGGAAATAACCCCTGCCCTCAGCTTCTTTTTCTGGGAAGCTCCTTCTGTAACTTGCTATATCAACCGTCTCCCATTGTGAGAGGGAAAAGACTGAAGAATCTGTAGGGTATCTGGACAGAGTGCCATTTTATGGTATGTGTGTTTAAATAGCTTTTGCTCCCTGATTTTATGTTGCTTAAGGTTATGTTGAAATTAGCATGTCTAGGAAATAGCAGTGAGGAAAGGTGGCCCAGAAACCTTTTTTAGATAGCATGAAGAATGTTGGCCTGCTTTTAATTCTGTGCATGTGGATATATAACAGTGAATGGGAATTGATAAAATCTGCATTTCCCTACTATCTTTTCTTGCTTGTGCCTAGTAACCCTCAGAGAATGGGGTCAATGTAGGAGCCTCTCGGGAGCACCTCAGTGTTAGCCTTCTCTCTTTTCTGAGCAACCTTACTCTGGGTTACTCAACAGTCCCAAAAGATTTTAATGATGGTGGTTTCCTTCTTAACAACTGAACCTCCAATTCAGAAAGCTCAGCTTTCTCCTCTCTGGGTCATGGCAGATGATCTCACAGTTGTGTGCAAGCCCCATCATTTTTCCCTTCATCTCCCCTTCCCACTCCTACCCACAGGGACCCACTCAAATGTCCTTTCACTGAAGAATACCTAACATTTTTGAGAATGTATGTGCTTTTATTTAATAAGAGTGATATTGGGTTATATATCTCACTTTTTCATTCAACACTACCTTTTTGAAGATCTTGTCACTAAATCTGATTCATGGTTTCTGACTACTGCAGAATATTTCACTGTATGCACCCCACCGTATCCCACTCTGTCTCTTACTAGCTGTGTTGTCTTTGGCAAATTACTTAAGTGCTCTGTACCTCAGGTTCCTAATATATAAAATGGGATGGTACTAGTGCCTACATCACAGGGTGGTTATGACGATTAAATGAGTTTTGGACTGGATGTATCTGAAGAGCTTCGAGAAGCACTTGGCACATAAAAAGTGCAGAGGAAAAAACACCTTAGTTAACATTATTGTTACTTCCCTATTCCCCTGATGAAAGATGTGTTGGTTAGACAGCTCTCTGCTACAACAAACAATGCTGAAATGGGCATCCTTGCTCATGTTTCTTCTTATAATTGTCTGTGAATTTATCTGGGACATATACCAAGCAGTGGAACTGCTGAATTACAGAGCATGTAAATTACTTTATAGAAAATGCCAGACTGCACTCCAGGATGTACAATTTACAACAGTCCCCCTGTTGCAGCTTTTTTCATTCTGGTAGTTCAGCTGACAGGAGTGTCACAGCTCTTTTATTATCACAGTTCAGTGAGTTCTGGGTCCTTGTCTCATGACCAAGAGTAATAAGGTACTGGAGAGGGGGTGTATTATAATTAGTCCATTCTCACACTGCTAATAAAGACATATCCAAGACTGAGTAATTTATGAAGAAAAAGAGGGTCAGTGGACTCGCAGTTCCACATGGCTGGGGAGGTCTCACAATCATGATGAAAGACAAAGGAAGAGCAAAGGGACTTCTTAAATGGTGGTGGGTAACTGTGCAAAGGAACTACTCTATAAATCCATCAGATCTCATGAGACTTACTCACTATCATGAGAACAGCACAGGAAAGACCCACCACCATCATCCCCTTACCTTTCATCAGGTCCCTCCTATGACATGTAGGAACTGTGGGAACTACAATTCAAGATGAGATTTGGGTGGGGACACAGCCAAACCATATCATGGGGTAAGGCAGGGTAGAATTTATTGAGCAAAAGAAAAGCCCTTGACAGCAAAAAGGGACCCAAAAGTGGGTAGCTGGCTGAGAGGCTGAGTCTAGGGTTTATATGGGCTTAGAATGGGGAAATGCATGCTGATTGGTTTATGAGTAGGACTGGAAAAGACACCCTTCAATTAGTTTGTGAAAAGAGCCAATCAGGAGAAAGTGGGCATATGCAAAATAGTCTTGGAAAAGGCACCATTCAATTGGTTAAGAGGCATCATTTAGAAAGAACCAATTGAGAGAGAGTAGGTAAAATGGGGATGGAAGTTCTCATTCAGGTTCATGGATTCTATCCGGAACTGTAGCTCAGTTTTCAGGGTTTAGAGTGTTCTTGGCTTGAAGGTGGAGTTTCACCAGGGACCTGTCTCTGTCTGCCCAGGAATTTGTCTGTCTCCTGTTGCTATCACCACTAACAGTCTTGAAAGCTCTCACTCCCCACAGCCTTATCAATGCTTGATAATATCTTACCTCCCACTGGCTGCTAATCTGATGGGTGGAAAGTGGCATCTTCTTTTGTTTTGTGTGTCTTTGATCACTAGTGAAGTTAAGCATCTGTTTGTACATTAGTTAGCCTCTTGTGAGTTAATATCTTGTCTAATTTTTTCATGCCTTTTCCTTCTTGATTTGTGGTAGTCCCTGGTATATTCTAGAAATATCCTTGTTAGTTTTAAAAGTTGCATGTATCTTCAAACCTACGATCAATCTGTCATCTTGGTGTATGGTGTCTTTTATTAAACAGAAATTTTTAGTGTGGTTGCACGCAACCATTTTGTCCCTTATGATTCATGCTATTTGAATAATGTGTGAAAAATCTTTTATACCCCCAAATCACACATGTGCACACACAAGCTCCTTCATTTTTTCAATATCATAAATTTGCCTTTCACATTTAGGTCTATATTTGGAGATTATGTTTGTATATGGTAGAAGATAGAGATCTGAATAATTTTTCTCCAATAGTAAACCAGTTCCCCAAATATCACCTATATAAGCCATCCTTTCTCCACTGATGAGTGCCACCTGTCTCATATAAAATGACATATAGCCACGAGTTTATTTCTGCACCCTCTGTTCTGTTGCATTCACCTTAATCATCCTGTACCAGCAGCAGATTCATTGAATTAGTGTGGAGTTTGTAGGATGTCTACAGTAGATGTTAGGGTGAATGTTTTCTCTTTTTTGAAATTTATTATTTCATACACATTTTAGAATCACTTTGTTATGCCAGTGCCAAAATTTTACCTTAATTCTTATTGAATTTTTATTGAATTTATGGATTAATTTGTGGAGAACTTATATTTTTAGAATTACATTACATACACACTCTACCTCTCTGTTTAAGTCTTATAATCTTTAACAGAGTTTAAAATTTTTGTCCTTAAAGAACTTGCACATTCTTTGTTGGACACTTTCCTAGGTACTTCACAATTTTTTTTTGCCTCTGAAAATAGTATTTTTTTCCTATTCTATATGCTAGTTTAAAAAAGAAAACTGTTGATTTTTGTAAGTTGGCTTTGTATCCAATAAATTTGTTGACATCTCATTAGTTCTAGTGGTTTGTCTCTTGATTCTGTTGGATTTCTATGTCTGCAAATGACTTTTTGTCCCTTTTCTCTCTACCTTTATTCTTCTTATTTTTTTTTCATGTATTATGGCATTGGCCAGGATCTCTAGTAGTATATTGAAAAGTAACAGTGTTTCAGAGGTACTTCATCTTTTTCCAAATCTCAAATTAATTAATAGTTTGTCTGTTAATATATATATTCACAGTAAAATCTTGGTATATAGATTTTATCAAATTTTACAAAAGCTTTTATTTCCACTTATGGCAATTTACTTTGAGAGATTTTACAATTTTGAGTGATCTTTGCATTTTTAAATACACTCTTGGATTTAGTGAGTTAGTATTTAAATAGGAAATCCAAATGAAATAGATTATGATTTTCTTTTATTATACTGTTCTTATCTGATTTTGGAATCAAGGATATACTAGCATTATAAAAATAAGTCAGGCAGAGTTTTCCCTTTTTCTATTTTCTGAAACAGCTTGTATAAGATAGAGATTTTTGATTCCATTAAAGTTTGGTGAAACTAGCCTGTAAAACTGTGTGGATCTGGGCCTTAAAAAAGGGAGGATAGGGCATGGTTTTGATTACTCTTTAATTCCTTTAGCAGCTATAGTTCTGTTAACATTTTTTATTTTTGTGTAATATGTTTAGAAATAATGCATCCAACTCAAAATTTCATCCAACTAAAAATTCTA
This sequence comes from Homo sapiens, assembly GCF_000001405.40. Lineage (NCBI taxonomy): Eukaryota > Metazoa > Chordata > Mammalia > Primates > Hominidae > Homo > Homo sapiens. The sequence continues at coordinate 30,868,285 of NC_000012.12, forward strand.
TGTAGGTTTTCAAAATTTTTGCTTTCTAGATCATAGAATTCTTTTGATATTTATCAATTACTTAGGCAAATGTTTCCCATTTTGAATCCTTCATTTTGTTTGCATGTCATCTATTCTTGCTCATTTTTGCCAGAGGTTTGTTTTTCAGAGAACAAGCTTTTAGTTTTGTTAATTATCTCTGTCATTACTATTCTCTATTTCATTATGTCCTCATCTTTATGATTTCATTTTATATTATTTGCATCAGGTAACTCTGTTGCTCTTTTTCTAAATACCTGAATTGAATGCTTGGCTAGTTTGTTTTCAGCCTTTCTTGTTGGGTAATAAATGTATTATTCTAAGCTATGTCTCTCAAATTTCAACCCATTGTGCTTTCATTATTGTTCATCACTATTTTGTATTTTCCCATGTGTGTGTCTGTTTAAACAGGTATTCTTTTCAGGCAGGTAGGCTTTTTTAAAGCTATTTCTTCATTAGTAATTACTAATTTTATGGCATTACAGTCAGAGAATAAAGTCTCTCCACACACCCTCAACCATGTTAGTATCCTCTACGGTTATAGTATAAAATTACTACGGCTAGACCTCTACATTCTAAGTTCCTTTTAACATTTTATTTTCTTCTCCTTCTCCTTCTCCTTCTTCTGAGACAGGGTCTTGCTCTGTCACCCAGGCTATAGTGCAGTGGTGTGATCACAGCTCACTGTAGTCTCCCCAGTTCAAGCAATCTTCCCACCCCAGTCTCTCAAGTAGCTGGGACTACAAGTGTGTATCACCACACCCAGCTATTATTTTTATTTTTAGTAGAGATGAGGTCTCCTTATGTTGCCCAGGCTGGTGTCAAGCTCCTGGGCTCAAGTGAACCTCCTGCCTTGGCCTCCCAAAGTGCTGGGATTACAGGCATGAGCCACCATACCCAGCCTTGTTTTCTTCTTGAAACCAGTTTTCCTGTTGAGAAGATGAATATCTGTTTGATTAATGTTCTTTCATGGGTTGCTTTTTCCCTTTGCTGTGCCTGCCCAGCCCCACTGCCCTCTAGGTTGAGGAGGAGAGGGGGGAAAAATCAAGGAGGATTTATCAATCACCTGTCCCTTTTACCTTCATTCCAGCCCAGCCTGGCTTCATCTCAGTCCTTAGATTAACCTCCCTCCTCTGCTGCCACTGGGTGGGGTCTGCAGTTTTCCACCTTGTGCAAAGCAATGGGTAATGGTCCATCCAGGGCAACAACAGAAGATAATATGACTACCTAGAAAGTCCCTCTTTCCCTCAGCCTATGCCCAGTCAGTGGCATCTGGCCTACCCACTTTGTATCATTTTCCTCTTCTTCCTCAACTGAGATCTAATTTCCTTTTGTCTCTGCTAAAATTCCTTGGCCTCCCACCAACCTCCCTCTGGTGCCTCCTGTATCTCTAGATTGGTTTTGGGATCAGGGTTCAGGATCTCTGCTGGTTGACCATTTCTTCTGAGAGTATGGTGGTTCCTTCCACCTGTTCATTTAATGTTCCTGCTCAGTTTTAGACCATCTCCATGCTTTCACCACCTCATCTCATATGTGAAGTCCCAAGTGGCTGCATTGGAAAGAAAAAGAAAGAGAAAGAAAGAAAGAAAGAAAGAGAGAGAGAGAAAGAAGGAAGGAAGGAAGGAAGGAAGGAAGGAAGGAAGGAAGGAAGGAAGGAAGGAAGAAAGAAAGAAAGAAAGAAAGAAAGAAAGAAAGAAAGAAAGAAAAAAGAAAGGAAGGAAGGAAGGAAGGAAGGAAGGGAAAGAAAGGAGGGAGGGAGGAAAGAAAGGAAGAAAGAGAGAAAGAGAAAGAGAGAAAGAAAGAGAGAGAGAGAGAAAGAGGGAGGGAGAGAGGGAGGGAGGAAGGAAGGGAGGGAGGGAGGGAGGAAGGGAGGAAGGAAGGAAGGAAGGAAGGAAGGAAGGAAGTCCTTCCCTGGAACTACAGATCAATGCAGATCACATGACCAAGCCATAAAGATGAATGGAAGGCCAAGCAGGCACAGGGTCCTCAGACTGTTCCCCAGGAGAGCCTTTCTCACCTCTCCCCTTGCAGCTCTCCAGCCCCATCAGCCTCCTGAGCCATCTCCTCCTTCCAGCTCTTCCTGTCTATGACAACCAGATCTCCCTCTCAGGAATCTCAGGTGTTGTACCTTGGGGTTGCATGCCTTGTGTGTAATCTTCTCGGCATTCTGTTCTTATTTTTGTCTTTCCCCAAGACAGTTATTTCAAAGTATTTTCATTTTGCACAAACAAGATGGTAAGTTCCTTGAGAGCCTATCTTACCCTGTGGTCAGCCAACATACTGGATAGCAGAATCACAGTCCTAGGTTCATCTCCACAGGCTGGAGTGCAGGTCCAACTTGCTTCCTGCAAGACAGAAAGTGAAACCAAATGAAAGCCAGGAGCCCCATCTGGTAGTGAGACCTACTGTGAGCTGCGCTGTCACATTGCAGCCCTATCCCTGCCACCAGCATCGACTCAGCCATGCCTGGCCTCTGCTCAAATCATCCTCTAATCTGGGCCTTTCACTTCAACCTGGGTCTTCTATGAGACCTTTAAGATCCCATGTCCCCTTACGACCACTTCTAAGGACATTTGGGGGCACTTGCCCCACAGGCTGCGAAAGAAGCTTCAGCACTCTTGAAGCTTTGCAGTCTATTCCAAACTCCTCTGTCTATAAGCAAAAATTCCTGCTCCTTTAATGCCCTCACTACCCGTCAAGAGCATTCTCTACCCCTCCTTGTTGCTGCCAGGCTACGACCTACTTACTGCTCACCTTCAATCTCTCTTGGTTCCTTCCCACGTATGTAAATATGCTCAAGCCTCAGTCAGCTCCTCTGATGCCACCCATGTCTCACTTTCTCTAGAGAGACAAGCTTCTTCAAAGAGCAGACTGTAAACTTTGCCATTCACTCATCTCCCATTCACTTTACAACCCTTGGCTCAGACTCTCCAGGGAAATAGTTTGGGCCAATGTCTCTGGAAGTGACCTTCTACTTTGATAATTTAACTGACATTTTTTACAGCCATTATCTTGTTTGACTGCAGTACATCTCTCTCCATCTCTCTGTGTCTTTTTTTTTTTTTTTTTTTTTTTTGGAGACAAGGTCTCACTCTGTTGCCCAAGCTGGAGGACAGTGGTGCAATCACAACTCACTGCAGCCTTGGCCTCCCTGGCTCAAGTGATCCTCCTGGCCTCCCAAGTAGCTAGTACTATAGACATGCGCTGTCACACCTGGTTAAATTTTTATTTTTTGTAGACATGGGGTCTCTCTCTGTTGTGCAGGCTGGTCTTGAACTCCTGGGCTCAAGTGATCCTTCTGCCTCCCACTCCATCTTTTCTTGATCTCTGGGATGCCATCCTCTGGTGGTTTTTAAGCCCTCCAGGCCCCTCCCTCCATTAACCCTGAAACAGGAGTGTCCCCAAGTCCAAAACTTGGTCTGCCCCTTCTGACTCCTTGATCCCGACTTCCCAAGCTCCCCATCATGGTGAATGACATCACTGGCCTCCCATACTTGGAGGCCTCTGCCTTCTGGAGGCCTTTCTGAGTCTGCTCTACCTTAAGCCCCATATTCAAGTGGTCCCCAAGTGCTAGCGACTCCAGCTTGGTGCCCTCTCTGCTATTGGGCTCTCTCTCTGTGCCCACTGTCACTGCTTTGGATCAGGCCCTCACCCTGGTCAAGCAGAACCACTGATGTCCCTTCCCTATTGGTCTCAGTCTTGTCTCCTCCCAACTCATTCTCTGAAATGCAAGCAAAAGGGTATTTCTGAAACAAAAATCTCTGCCACTGTCTTTTTGAGGTTACCCATTGACTTCAAAATCAAGTCTAAATTCCCTAGCATGTCACATAAGGCCCTGAAGGATCCGGACACTCCTTGTCTCTAAAGCCACAAGTCTCTCTGGCTAACTCATCTCATTTCTCCAGAGTCTGACAGCCCCACCTTCAGGGCACCCACCCTGCACTGCCCCAGCTTCTGGCTAGGAGCTCTTCCCTTACACTCCATGAGGCCCCCTGGGCTCAGTGATCTCTACCCCTGCTGATGCTGTATTAGATTGCCCCTCACCAGGCCACTAGGCTATATACTCCTTGTCTTTTGCTTCTGTGTTTCCAGCAACTGTCATAGTGCCTGGGCCTTAGCAATTGCTCCAGAAATGTTGGATGGATGGATGGAGGGATGGATGGATGGATGGATGGATGGGTGAATGTTCTACTCTGTGGTCTCAAGCCCTGCCTCAAGTATATTATGGTTAGTTCTTGGAGTCAAACAAACTAGAAAGGTTTAGATAATGTCAAACAGTGCAATTAAGTGGCTTGAAACTATGTCGCTTGACAAGTTTAAAAGGGGTAGAGAATAGGGTAAGGGAAAAGGACTTAATATTTATAGGATAGCTACTTATGACATCTTATTAGGCATTTTTAAAGATGTTATCTCATTTAACCACCATAAGAATACCCTGAATCAATATTATCTTCATTTTGTAGATCTGGAAATAAGGCATGAAAATACAAACTTGGCTGAGGTTATGCAGCTAAGTGGCAAAGCCCAAATTTAAGCACAGGTCCCTGTCTGATTCCAAAACCCATGCTCTTTCTACTACCTTATGCCAAAGTTCTGCTCAGACCACCATGAAGGTTGACAGACAGGGGGAGGAGGCAAAGGGACCAGTGACAAGACTAATGGGATGTCCTAGTAAGAGTTCGAAATCTCAACAGGACAATGGCAGTGGGACTCTGAGACAGACAGAGTTTATGGGCTGCTATGAGGCAGCATTACCCAGGTCAATGTCCAGTTGGATGTGAAGGACAGAGAAGGAAGGGTGAGAGTGAATTTTGGGGCAACTGGACAGATGAAGGTGCCATTTCAAAGAGATTTGTTTTCCATGCACTCTGCAGGGTCATTACAGGGAGTCAGATTTCTGCTCTCTACAAAGAAGGACTTTCTGGTCAGAATAAAAGAGATGCCTGTAGAAGTAGAGGGAGATAGCACCAACTCATCACACCTTGGCTGGGACAGTGGACAGCAGGGTGCAGGCTCCAGAAGGTGAGTGATAGAGCAGATAGGCCTCCACAGGCATGGCCTTCAAGCCCGTGGCTCTGATTCACTCAAATAGTATTGAATGAGTAGCAAAAGCAATGCTTTTTCTTTAGCTTTTTCTCAAGGTGACAAGAATGGGGTTTTTTAAGAATGGTTTGAGAGGATGGATTTAAAAGTTGAACTTTTAAAAAGATTTACCAGGCTGGGTGTGGTGGCTCATGCCTGTAATCCCAGCACTTTGGGAGGCTGAGGTGGGTGGATCACTTGAGATCAGGAGTTCGAGACCAGCCTGGCCAACATGGTGAAACCCTGTCTCTACTAAAAATACAAAAATTAGCTGGGCGTGATGGCAGGCACCTGTTATACAGCTACTTGGAAGGCTGGGGCAGGAGAATCACATGAACCTGGGAGGCAGAGGTTGCAGTGAGCCGATATCGCATCACTGCACTCCAGCCTGAGTGACAGAGGAGATCCTGCCACACACACACAAAAAAAAAGATTTACCAAATAGGTAAATCTGCCATGGCTTTTTTCCCCTTCACAGCCACTGTCTGTTTGGTACTAACACCAGCTTTTAGCTTAGAAGGAAACACATGAACTTTCATATTAACTTCCTTTAAATTCAGTAGTACTCTCTGTATGATCAAATAAACTTATTTGGTTAAAATGGAATGTTTTTGGTACAGATTTTTTTTAAGCAATCAGATTTCCCCTTTTCACTGCTTTGCACTTCGATGGTCTGATGTCTGGATCCATAGACAGTCTGATTGTCCCCAGGGCCCCTCATCAGTTTGGTCTTAGGAAATAGCAAGTGGCCAGTTTCCAGTTCAGACAACCAGGGAGCTCTACCCCAGCTTTCCTTGTTTATTACCAAGATCAGCCCTTGCAGTTCCAGAGAGGCAGTTTCCCTGAAATAGTGGGACATTTATACAGTGGCTCTTGTGGGACTGCAGCTTTTGCCAGCTGAAATGGTTGATAAAAGGGAGAATGGCAGTGGCTGGGACCCCAAAGCCATAGCCCAGCCACCTGACACCTCAGAGGCTTGTGGGAAATATTGAAGCACCAAAGAAAAGCTAGACTTAGAAATGAGCTTGGGATCATTTCACAGGTGAGGAAACTGAGGCCCAAAGAGCTGAAGGAAATGTGGGCTGCTGGGCTGCTCCGTACCTCCAGGTGGACATGCACCCCTTCCAAAGTCCCAGATCAGAGTCTTCTCCCCACAGCCCCACCCCACTCACTGCCCCCAGCAACTGGAAGCCTTTGTGTGGGCTGCCCTGGGAAAAACTGAGGAGGGAAGTTGTGCAGGCCTGAGCTGGAGCCCACCCCCATGGCAGGCCGGCAGTGTGGCTGTGTGTTTGTTTCCCTGCAGAGGCACAGAGACACCTTGCAATCCCACCTCAGCAGCCGCCTTTGCCTCAATCTCCTTGGTCATTGCACTGAGTTATTCATGAGGTTAATGATTCTGCTTTCATATAAGTCAGCCTGACAACCTGCTCTTTGAAGCATTAAAAGAAAACAAACAAACAAAAAATGCTGTAATTAAATACTGTGTCTTCAAAGTGCCTCTTTCCCTGAGATGGCAGTTAAGCTGGAGGGGAGCCAGGATGAAAGTTCAAACGCAAGTCCTTTTTGTCCCCAGGGGCACATTTCAGGCTCTTGTGCCTCAATGTTTTCCAAAGTGGCCAAAACAACAGAACCTGGGCAATGGGGTAGGAAAACTCCATATCTTTTATATCCAGCCCAGACCAGTTAACGTGACAAATTGGCGGGAGCCTGGCCTCCTGTGGGCCCTGGTGCCTGCTTCCTGAGGACCAGGGATCTAAGCAAACAGAGGCGAGCTCATGGATCCTCCCAGGCAGGGAGGGGAGGGCTGGAGATCACGTTAATCTGCTGCTGCCGCTGCTGCTGCGGCCAAGTAAGGCCCAAACTCAACTTGGAAGATGTCCTCTCCTGGAGGGAAGCCTGGGCCATGGCTAGCAGGATTGTCTTTCTTTCCTTCTTCCTTACCAGAGAGGCTGCCAAAGCCAGACGCAAGACCTGACAGACTCAGTGCAGAAATAAATGTCTCCTCCTAGATGCTGACAGTCTGTGGAGATGGACATGTGCCTTTCCCCATCTGTTTTTAAATATGTATTTTTAAGCTAAATTTAAGACATGGAGGAGGAGGAGTGGAAAGGCTCTCTATTGGTAAGATAAGGAGAATGTCTTCCATCCCCGTCCATTCCAAAACACAGTCACAATATCTCATCCTCACGATGGAATAACTGCTATTCAATATAATTTTTGAATCAGTCATTTTGAGCATTATTATTTCAGCTTTATTAATAAGGTGTGTGCAGTAGATGCTACACTCCCAGCCCCGGGGTTTCCCCCCTCCCTACTGAGCTGCACTCCAACAGCACTGAAGTAGCCCCATCCTAAGCACCCTGTGAAGTAGCTGAGGACCAAGCAGGTGAGCTGAGACTCATGGTCCCATCCACAGAAACTGACTCTGTTCCCCTTACGAGAATAAATAGAATGCATTGGAGGAAATCAGGCTGCTCCCAGACCTGACAAGAAGGCATGGAAGAAAGCAAGCAAGTTCATGCCGCAGGAAGGGATCTGGACAGCATAGTGACCACCACTCCTGTCATTGTCAGTGCAACCCCCCACCCCACTACCTCTACTGGAATCACTCTCAATTGGGCCTGCATCTTTGCATTATTCTTAAGACTTGAAGACCTAGGCATGAGCACCTCACTCCCTCTCTGCCAGGAGTCAGTCATAGCATCTGGCTTTTTTAGCTTCCCAGTGGGAGGCAGACCCTGCCATGGAAGCTCACACAGTAGTGGATCACCAACACGGAAGGGGGTTCATAGGCTGTGCAGCCAAAACAAACAAAAGACAGCCACACAGTAGGTCAACTGTTATCCCCATTTTACAGATGAGGAGACTGAAGCCCACAGCTTCATTATATTAAGTGACTTGCTCAGTGTCACACAGCCACTAAGAAATGTCACGCCTCTCATGGGTCGCTGTGCTTTGCTCATCAAATCAGGACAAGCTATATGGAGAGAGAGAGAGCTTCGTTTGCAGCCTTGCTTTGATAGGTGCCACCCACCTCTGAATCTGAAGACGGTGCCCTCTAGGTTGAGAATATCCAATACAAAGCAGGTGTTTCCATGCTGACAGATGGTTCAGTACAGCCAGGCTCAGCCTTTCCCCCTCTCTCCCCATTCCTGTGATCTTTCTCTGGCTCCCTCTGGCCCCATCACCAAAGTATCCACAGCACAATGAGGTTAGGGAACTGAGCAACCTTCTGGCTGGGGAGCTGTACGAGGCCGAGCAATGGACAAGTTGGGAGGGGGCAGGAGCCTTGTGCTAAGGTGGGGGGGCTTCATTTAACCAGAGGCTGCTGGGAGCTTGGAAGGGTTTTCAGCAGGGGAGTAACCTTTTAGGAAGTGGGAGAATGGATAGGAGGGAATAAAGAGTGGATGTGAAGAGGCTTATCAATAGGCTTCTGGTAGGCAAGGGGTCATAGTGCAGATGGAGAAAAGTGAGCGAGTCAAATACTAAACAGGTGGAATTCAAGGTATCGGTGATTGATTAGACACAAGGTGGGTAGGGAGGGGGCAAAGGGGAAAAGTCAAGCTGCTTGGACAGCTGAGAGCTCTAAGAGAGACAACCCTAGTAGATAAACAGGTAAAAGAAAGTGTGATGCTTCTGGAGTTGAGGGCTCAGGAAGGATGTCTGGAAATGGAAAGGTCAAATACAGCCTCTTGCTTCGTCAGTGTGGATCACTCCCTTTCCTGCCTCTCTGTTCCTCCAGCTGAAAGCTGTGGCCAGTCAGCTTCTGACTTCATCACCAGGTGTTACAAAGCAAGTTAACTGAGCAAGGAGGAAGCCCCTGGCAGGTAGCAGAACAAAGCCAGGAGACCTGGGCTCTCCCATTGGTTCAGCTGCAAACTAATTCAGTGGCCTTGAGCAAATCTGGGTCTTGGTTTGCTGGCCATCACTAACATTCCAGGGGTTTATGAATGAAATGTGAGGAGGTGAACTGCTACGTAAATGTTTACTGTTAATAACCAACCATACACAAAACACCTGTGAATCACCTGGGCAACACAACGGTTTTAAAAATCTTAAGTGGCTCTTGTTCTTCTGATTCATCAGGTTCTACGCATTTAACTTCCAGAACAAATTTAGCCCTCAAAATATCTTGGTACATTTTCTACCCATCTCTTACCCTTTAAATCCTCCATTGTTTAAATGACACGTCACCATTTCTGCACACCTGTTACCCAGCACACCCTCATCCTTTTCCTCTTGAAGCAACCAGCCCAGCCCCACCCACGCTTTCTCCAGAGGAGACAAAAGGCACTGGAGACTCTGCCTTGCTGGGTCTGCTCCAGCCATGTCCTAAAAGAGAAACCGGCAGAGCAACTCAGGCAGGGGCAGGGAAAGCAGGGCAGGGGAGTGGGAGAGAGGGGAAGTTAGCAGTCAGTGAATAGGTGCAAGGTAAGGTTGGCAATTAAAATAATTTCCACCTACATACACGGCAGCTTTGAAGGCACAGGATGGGGGAAGATTGCCACAGGATGCCAACTGCGGCATCCATTTTAAGACTTTCTGTTCACTGGCATCAGCAGCCATTGGGTGGACCAGCTTGGAATCTTAGCCCATTCTATCGCTTATATGGACCATTATCTGCTCTAAGTATGACTAGAACCAAGGCTGGCACTGTCCTGCCAGAAGCATTTTCCTTAGCCACTCTCAGTTCATGGTCACTTAAAAAAAAAAAAAAAGAGCAAAAATTGCCTCTGAAATATCTAGCAATTCCCTTAAATGCAGGGCTTAGAATAAGCTATGAAGTTTGCTTAAGAAAGGGCTGAAGAGCCTTTCAAAGTGTTTGCACTTGAGAAATGGAAAACTCAGAAATGTTTGCCTCCTCTGGCAGCCTCAGCTATGGGCTCTTCTGCAGTTGGCTGGGGCTTAGATGGGAAATTCTTTCAGAGCAACAGGTGCCACCATCGTGAAAGCTAATAAGAATGATAGAAAATGTTTATTGAGCACTTACTATGTGCCAGGAACTGTTCTAAGCATCTGCATGCGTTAACTCATTTACTCCTCACAACAACTGCATGAAGTAGCAACCATTATTTTTCTTCATTTTACAGGTAGGGAAATCCAGGTACAAAGAGGCTAAATATCTGGCCCCAAGTTCCCCAGCTGGTAAGCAGCAGAGCTGGGATGTGAAACCAGGCAGGTGGCTTCAAATAAGGCCTCTCTGAAGATAAAGCACATCCAAAGTTACTCAAGGAAAAACAAGTTGAGTAGGTGAGATTTTGATCTCTTATTCTTCTTCTCTTGCCAGGTGCCATTCTAAGCCCCTTCAGTGATGAGAAGAATAATTCTCGAAGCCTCACTAGAGAGATGTGTGAGTGACAATATGGAACGAAGGCCTGATGGTGAAGTTTCAGAAACTAGTTCCTGAGAGTGGTTCATATGTTAAGCTGAGGTGAAATTACCAACCCCCTTTAAATTATGTCATGCTACTTCGATGATACATAAAGTTTCTCCTACTCTGCCCAGCTCCTCTTCCTCACCCTCCCTAAACATTTATAACATCAAAATGAGATGCTCTGGAAGCCCTTTCAAAGCTACTTCCAGCTGGGTGCGCTGGGTCACGTTTGTAATCCTAATACTTTGGGAGGCCAAGGCGTGCGGATCACTTGAGGTAAGGAGTTCAGGACCAGTCTGGCCAACATGGCAAAACCCTGTCTCTACTGAAAATACAAAAATTAGCCAAGTGTGGTGGCGCTTGCCTGTAGTCCCAGCTACTTGAGAGGCTGAGGCATGAGAATCCCTTGAACCAGGGAAGTGGAGACTGCAGTGAGCTGAGATTGCACCACTGCACTCCAGCCTGGGTGACAGAGCAAGACTCCATCACAAAAAAAAAAAAAAAAAAAAAGCTACTTCCAAAACCTGAGGGTTTTTATTCTTTTGTGAATAACACGAGAACTGGACATGTCTCTGCATTCCCGGCAATTTCTTGAATTAGCTCATATTGAGTGACTAGCTTTTATGAAAGTTAATTCCTTGAGCTTAACCTCCGAGAATCTGCCAAAAATCTCCCAGACAAGGTGAAGACAAGACTCATCCTCTCGCCCCATCCCTATGTTGCTCTTTGATATTTGATTGTTACACCAGCTAATTCTAATAGGATAGACTTGAAATCCTTTCCCCCCAGTAAACCTCTATGCTGCAAGGAAGAGACTCCAAGATCTATGTACTCCACGTCTCTCATTCAAACATCCTTGGTTTATAAATCTCCTAGACCTCTCTACTCCATTATATGCCTCTGCCCAGGTACCTAATGGAAGCCACTGAAAACCTGAAAAACTCTGGCTTCAGATCCATGTAACAGTTCCCTTGAAAAGGCTCCTTTTGCTAAAGAACTGGAAGTATCCCCTTCTCCATACCCAGCACATTGGTTTATCATTATTATTTGCCACCAGAAATCTCACAGGCTGTTTGTTCTCTGCCCAAATTCATATTCCAGTTATTTGTTCTCAGGGCCAGCCCACCCTGCACCTGAGAAAAGGGGCTGAAACCTGCAGGGGCTCAATCTCTCTCCAGGCAATTTCCAGTCTCTCCAGACCTGGGTTCCCATTACAATGCTTCCCCCTGACATTCTCTTTACCTCAAACAGCACAACTTGTTTTTCTTTCTCCGGTGTCTGCTCCCTCCTGATGCAGGATCCACTTAAGTCTTTCTGAAACTGACACCAGGATCAAGGGAGGAAAAACCAGGCAGCACAAAGCCTTTGGCAGGCTCCTGCAGCAAGTTCTGTGCTGCCTGCTCCTCCTGAAAATCCTCTCTCAGCTCTTTCCAGATGTGCCCCAGACTCTCACGAGCACATTTCTCTCAAACAGCCCATCAATCACTCCATGAGTGTTTACTTAGTGCCCGCTTCATGCGAGACATTGTCCTCTACGCCCGGGAGCATGCCTCCATGTGGGAGAATTGATTCCTGCCTTCCAGACCTCATGGCCTCTGCAAGGAAACACGACATCAGCCAAAGAAAATACAAAGCCTGGAGAACTCTTTCCAAATCAGAGGCACAGACTCTGCTAGCTGAAGAAGCTGAAGATTAGAATTAAACCTTGAGGAGTAGGTAGGAGAAAGGGAGGGGGAACGATGCTCTTGATAGAAGAGCAAGTGAGCAAAGACACAAACATATTTGGGGGCAGTAAGTTTATGACCTGGGCAGGCCGAGGAGACTTTTTTTTTTTTTGAGACAGGATCTTGCTCCATTGTCCAGGCTGGAGTGCAGTGGCACCGTCTCGGCTCACTGCACCCCCCTCCTCCCCGGGTTCAAGTGATTCTTATGCCTCAGCCTCCCGAGTAGCTGGAACTATAGGCACGTGCACCACACCCAGCTAATTTTTGAATTTTTAGTAGAGATAGGGTTTCACCATGCTGCCTAGGCTAGTCTCAAACTCCTAACCTCAAGTGATCCAACTGCCTCAGCCTCTCAAAGTACTAGGATCACAGGCGTGAGCCACCACGCCCAGCTCTGAGGAAATTTTTGAATGCTGCGCTGGAAAGGTGTCTCATAGACACTGCCATCCCTTGTTGAAGCTAACCTCTCTTCAAAAAAATGGAAATAAAATAAGGGGTAGAGGGGGCAGGGCTTCCCACCAACAGGCATGGCCCTGGTGGTGCTTCTGCCTGGGAAGGTCCAGCTAGACCAGGTGACCCTTCACTAGCAGTTCTAGCCCAAAGCTATGGTCCCAGTCCTGGGAAGGAGAGCCCTGTGACTTCCCCCAGTCTGCACTTACTCCACAAATTCCTCTGGAAAGAGCACCAGCCTGGGAATCAGGGGACCTGGTTCCTGACCCAGCATTTTCACTAACTAGATGGCAAGCCACACAGCCTCATGAGCCTCCATGTCTGCACATGTACAATGACAATGAAGAGTTTGGAGAAGATGTACTAAGTCCTTTCTAGCTCTTAGGTGTTATTTTGCAATCATTTCTGTAGCCCACCTTCCATCATCCATTATTCAATGGGTCTCATGGGAGATCTTATTTTTCAGTTCCTGGGGTATTGTGATATGGCGAAATATATATATTTGGTCTTTATCCAGTTTCCTGGCATACAACTCCAAGTCTCCATAGTGATGTCTTTTTGTATGCCAAGGAGTTGACTGGTGGCTGACAGCCCCTAAGTAGCTTCAGAATGGGGGGTGGTCATCAAGACCCAGGCTGGATGAGAGGATTGGGACTTTCAGCCCCATTCCCCAGCCTCCAGAGAAAGGAGAGGAGCTGAAGGTTAAGTTGATCACCAATGACCAATGATTTAATCAGTCATGCCTACATAATAAAGCCTCTATAAACACCCAAAAGGACTTCCATACCAACCCCAACAGGGTTTGAAGAGCTTCCAGATAGCTGAACACGTGAAGATTCCTGGAGGGTGGCACCCAAGGAGGGCATCGAAGCTCCACACCCCTGCCCACCTGCCATTCGCTAGCATCTCTTCATCTGTACCCTTTGTAATAGACTTTACAATAAACTCAGTATTTCCCTGAGCTCTGTGAGCCACTCTAGCAAACTAACTGCACACAAGGAGTGGGCTGTGGGAACCCTGATCTATAGCCAGTGGGTCAGAAGCACAGGTAAAACAACCTGGAACTTGTGATTGGCATCGGAAGTGGGGGACATTCTCATAGGACTGAGCCGTCACCTGTGGGCTCTGATGCTAGCTCCAGGTAGATAGTGTTGGAATTGAACTAAAGTGGAGGACACCCAGCTGGTGTTCGCTGCTGGAAGATTGCTTGCTGGCTGGTGGGAAGAAACTCCACCCCGCAAACACATGTCTGGTGTCAGAAGTACTGTGTGACTGCGCTGGGAGGGTGCAGTAGGAAGAAACTGGGCTCGTTACTCCTGTATGCTCTGAAGGTATGATCCTTTTTGCCAGCTTTCTTCCTCTGCCTGCTATTTCCTGGCTGTCATCTTTTTCAAAATTTGCTTTTAAATATGAAAAGACTCATATTTATTATAGAAAATTTGGAAAATACAGGAAACACAGAGACAATATGGAAATCATCTATAATTCAATCATTCAAAGACAACCACCATTAACTATTTGACCTATATCTTTCTCATAGACAGTTGTCCCTCAGTAGCCTGAGGGGAACTGGTTCCAGGACCCCTGTGCATACCAAAATCTGTGGATGCTCAAGTCCCTTATATAAAATGGTGTAGTATTTGCATATAACCTACATGTGCCCTCCTGTATACTTTAAATCATCTCTAGATTACAATATAATGTAAATGCTATGTAAATAGTTATACTGTCTTTTTTATTTCTATTATTTTGTATTGTATTGTGTTTTTTTCTGAATAGTCATTTACTGCATAATGACATTTTGGTCAATGACAAACTGCATATGTAACGATGGTTCCATAAGATTATAATGCAGCTGAAAATTTCTGGTCACCTAGTAACATCATAGCTCTCATAACATTGTAGGGCAGTACATTACTCATGTGTTTGTGGTGGTCCTTTCAGAGGTATTCCAGAAGGAGGCATTGTTATCATAGGAGATGACAGCTCAATGCATGTTATTGCTTCTAAAGACCTTCCAATGGGACAAGACGTGGAGGTGGAAGACGGTGATGTTGATTATCCTGAGCTTGTATAAGCCTAAGCTAATGTGTGATTTGTATCTTTGTTTTTAATAATAAGGTTTAAGAAGTCAAAATTAAAATTAAAGAATTAAAGAATAGAAAAAGCTTATATTAATAGAATAAGAAACAAAGAAAGTATTTTGTAGAGCTGTAAAATATATTTGTGTTTTAAGCTAAGTGTTATTACAAAAAAGTCAAAAAGTTTTTTAAAATTTTAAAGTTTATAAACTAAAGTTACAGTAGGCTAAGGGTAATTTATTATTGAAGGAAGAATAACTTTTAGAAATAAACAGTGCAGCCTAAGTCTACAGTGTTTACAAAGCCTACTGTAGCATACAGCAATGTCCTAGGCCTTCACGTTCACTCACCACTCACTCACTGACTCACCCAGAGCAATTTCAGTCCTGCAAGCTCCATTCATGAAAAGTACCCTATACACGTATACCACTTTGTATCTTTTATATTGTATTTTTATTTCACCTTTTCTGTGTTTAGATACACAAATACTTACCATGGTGTTACAACTGCCTACAATGTTCAATACAGTCACATACTTTACAGTTTTGTAGCCTAGGAGCAATAGGCTATCCCACATAGCCTAGGTGTGGAGTAGGCTCTACCATCTAGGTTTGTGTAAGCACATTCTGATGTTTGCACAATGATGAAATTGTCTAACAATGCATTTCTCAGAATGTATCCCTATTGTTAAGTAATGCATGACTGTATATTCCATCCTCAGTTGGTTGCATCCATGGATGCAGAACCCATGGATACAGAGGGCCAACTGTACATACATACTGTCTTAGTCCATTTTCTGTTGCTATAACTGAATACCTGATACCAGGTAATTTATCAAGAAAAGACATTTATTTCTTAAGTTCTGGAGGCTGGGGAGTCTAACGTGAAGGTGCCAGCATCTGGTGAGAGCCTACTTCCTGCATTATAATGACAGAAGTCATTATGTGGCAAGAAGGCAAGAGCATGCCAGTTCAGATCTCCCTTCTCTTATAAAGCCACCAGTCCCATCATGGGCCCACCCTGATGACTTTATCTCATCCTAGTTACCTCCCAAAGGCCCCACCTCTAAATACCATCAACATATGAATT
Source organism: Homo sapiens (assembly GCF_000001405.40). Taxonomy (NCBI): domain Eukaryota; kingdom Metazoa; phylum Chordata; class Mammalia; order Primates; family Hominidae; genus Homo; species Homo sapiens. The sequence continues at coordinate 30,884,103 of NC_000012.12, forward strand.
TGGCGATTAAAGTTTCCAAAACATTGAAACCATAGCACATGCTTTTAGTTTTAGCCAAGTTAGTACCATACAGCACATAAATTATATATTGTTGACAATTCCACTTCCTGTATGGACAGACTAGGTTGGTTTTGGACCAACCCTCCCCGAGAACTAGAAAAGCTGGATAACATATAACAAAATATGTTTGAAGGCTTCTGAAAAATGGTCAAAGCAATGAAACTTTGTGGTGTTACAATCTGAAAGAGGAAGGAAATCAAGAGAAATGAACCTGGAATTTGGGGCCTCTCTGCCCCTCAAAGCAACAGGTAGATTCCATAAGCAAGAAGAGTGACAGGGGACTGATAAATCAATGAGCTTTCAGCCGTCTGGTGAGGCAATGTAACCAAAATGGAGGTCAGGATTCACTCGGGAGGAGGGATCCTGGTAACACCCCAGGAATTCTGCTGGGACCCCAAAGGCCTGTGCTCTAGTTATAAGAGTAAATCCACCCTCACAAAGAATGAAGCCAAGCTTCAAATCATGTCAATTCAATCTAACCTTTGACTAGCTAACAGCCAGAAGCAAACCTTCCTCTGATGGAAGATAACATCACATAAAACCTCAAATTATCCCTACATTTTTCAAACACTGTTTCACCCTTAAAAAGGTAGATAATAGAGAAGGCTAGAGAGCTGTCTTTACTGGGGAAATAGCTGTGGCAGATCATTGCACCATAGAATGTGATTAGAAAAGCAGATCAATATGCAAGAGCCATAGTTAAAGGCATCACAGAGCCTAGGAGCCAATGAAGACTATACAGGATCAGATTCTGGGGAGGGGAATCTGCAGAGAGGAAGCTGGCGATCTCTGTCAATTCTGTGAATAGGTAAAAAGCTGAGAAACTTTGCCCAGGCAGTGAGTCACTCCCAGGTGATTGAGAAACCATCAGAGCTTCAGAAGTCTTACGAGGTGTAATTGATTAAAATTGGAGACTTGAGGACTCTCAAAAATGTGGTTTGTTTTGCCTCAATAAGTTGGCTAAATTCTGTAACTGTACAAGGAATATGGCTAAAATTTCAAGCAGAGAATTTTGGGCAGTTTTATGGTGTTGAGGAGAGAAAGATTAGAATTTAGGGCCTGCCCGGGGAACATGTCTCAGTGAACATTTCAGAGAATCAATTAGAAACCCTGGAGGTCTATGCCCCAGGATCAGGAGCTAACCAGAGGCAACAAGCTGCACTGGAACCAGAACGACTTCATCCACCCTCCCAGTTGCTGCTACACCCTGCCTCTCAGGCCCTGAGCTGAAGCAGCACCCATCTCCCAGGGCATCAATGCCTTGGCTACCCAGAGCAGTCACACTCCCTGGTGCTGGAGCTGAAGTGGCACTGTGTCTTCCAGGGAATTCTTGCCTTGGCTACTCAGGGTAGTCACACCCCCAGCACCTGAGCTGAAGTAATGCCCTACCTCCCAGGGAATCAGTGCCTTGGATGAGCCTGGCAGCTGTACATCCCAGGGCTGAATTGACATGGCACCTTGCATCCCAAGAAAACAGCATTGAGTGAGCTGAGACCACCTACCAGGCCAAACAACTGTAGAACCTTGTCTTCTTGGAACTGGACTACCTCTCGCCCTTGACACCACAAGATTCTGAGCTGCTGAGGCACCCTGCCTCCTTGGAAAGTGGAGCCATTGCTGTGCTGCTCCATGTCCCCTGGGGCCCAAGCCACAGCTGAACTCTGCCATTCCTGGTCCTTGCTGTCTCATGGAGCCAGGGACACGGCTATGTTGTCTCATCATCCCTGGGTCCAGAGTCACCACTACACAGTGCCTTATCGTCCAGGACCTGAGTTACTGCTGTGCCCTATTGGCTCCATTTCCCAAATTATAGCTGTTCTCTGCTCATGGACCTGAATCTCCAGAGCACCCCTTCTCCCCTGGAGCTGAGCCAGTGCTGTGCCCTGCCCTTCAGGGTCGGAGTCAGAGCTACCATCCAGCCTAATGAGCCCGAGCTGCTGGAGTGTACCTCAAAGCCACAGACACCAGCTTTATTGACCATCTGCATCTACCTATGCCTCAGAGAGTGAACCTTCACTCCAAGTGCCAGCTGCCACAGTAGGTTTGTGAGACCGTGAGCCCAAACTCAGGTTTTAAAGCCACTCTGAGCACCTGTACCCTGGAACCTAGCACCACTGCAGCCACTTGTGGGCCATGCCAGACCCAACATGAGGAGAGATGCCCTCACCTAAGACTCTTCTTATGGAGGAAATGAGAATGGGAGGACCCTAAAAGCTCTTGCTACTGAGAACTCTAACAGCACACACTTCTGCCACTGCTGTCACAAACTCTGGCAGCCTAGGCCGGTGAGGTGCCCACAGTCATTCTTGACCTTGACTGCAGCTGAAGAAGCTGCACAGAGACTATACCACTGCCTCCACTTGGAATCAGGGCCACCACACCCTGCCCAAACAGCACCTTAAGACCCACCTGCAGGTGAAAGTCTTTACCTACAAAAGACACTCTGTAAATTTTGGAAGAGGTGACTGTTCCACCAGATGCACAGACATCAATACAAGGATAAAAGAAACATGAAAAAGCAAGAAAACATGACACCACCAAAGGAACACAATAATTCTCTAGTGACTGACCTCAAAGAAAAGAAAATTTATCAATTGCCTGAAAAGGAGTTCAAAATAATATTTTTAAGAAAATTCAGCAAGATATGAGATTCAGGATACAGATGGACAACTCAAAAAACTCAAGGAAACAATTCATGATCTGACTGAGAAATTCAACCAAGAGATAGATATTATAAAAGAGAACCAAACAGAAATCTTGTAGCTGAAGAATGCAATAAATGAAACAAAAAATACAGTAGAGAGATTCAACAGCAGACTAAATCATGCAGAAGAATCTGTGAACTTGATAATAGGTTTTTTGAAATTACTCGGGGTAGGGGAAAAGGAAAGAAAATAAAAAAGTAAGATGGCCTGCCTGACTTATTGGATGCCATTAAGCAAAATAACTCTTGCATTACTTATGTTCCAGAAGAAGAGACAGAGAAAGGGATAAAAACTTCTTTAATTAAATAATTGCTGAAAACTTCCCAAGTCTTGGGAGAGATATAGACATCCAGATCCATGAAGCTCAAAGAGGTTCAACCAAAAGAGGTCCTCCTCAAGACATATTATAACTAAACTGTCAAAAGTAACAAAATGAGCATTTTGAAAGCAGCAAGAGAAAAGCATCAAGTCACATATAAGAGAATCACTATTAGGCTATCAATAGATTTCTCAAGAGAAACCTTGCAAGCCAGGAGAGAATGGCATGAGAATGGGATGATATATTCAAAGTGCTGAAAGAAAAAAAAAAAACTGTCAGCCAAGAATACTATATCAAGTAAATCTGCCCTTCATAAATCAAAGAGTGGAAAAGATATAGAAAGAAAATCAGAGTGGAAAAGATATCCAAAGTCTAACCAAATGAAAACTGGAATGGCCATCCTAGTAGCAGAAAAATAGACCTTAAAGCAAAAAGTTACTAAAGTTAAAGAGGAGTATTTCATACTCATAAATGTTAATTCACCAGAAAGCTATCACAATTCTAAATCTATCTGTGTGCGACAACATAGTTTTAAAATATTTCTTTAAAAAAGCAAAAATTGACAGAATTAAAGGGAAAGATGACAAATTCACACTCGTAGCAGAAGAGTTTAATAAATCTCTCTCCATAGCTGATAATGGACCCAATAAAATCAGCAAGGAATGAGAAGAATGAAACACATAATTGGCAAATGTATAGCACCACATGATTTCTTTCACGTAATGTTCAAAAACTGGCAAAATTATGTCATTAAAATCATGCCAGTGGCTACTTTTCAGGGGGAAAAAAGCATAGTTGTTGGAAATGAACATAAAGGAGAGTTTTTGGGGTACAGGCAACATTCTATAATGTTCTATTCCTTCAGCCGGGTTGTACTTAGATGAGTATGTTCATTTAGAGATAATCATTGAACTGGTATAATCCAATTTCAAATGTGTATTAAATATATTTGTGTAGTTCAAACACTACACATAGCAATAAAAAACAATTTTATCCACATATCAAACTAAGTAAATCTTGGAAATTGTGTTGAATGAAAACACATAGATAGAGATTAAAAATTTTGTAAATTATTTTAAAATGCTATATATTTTTATATAGATAAATATATGTAGTAAAGGTATAACTTCTGAATAAGAAGAGTATGTACCAATTTCAGATAACTCCATAGTTATCTATGGAGCAGTAGGGAAGGGAAGACTATAAAAGAGGACTCAATGATATATGCAACCTTTTATTTCTTAAAACATTCTTAAGTAAATATGGCAAACTGTCAACATTTGTTAAATTTGGCTGGAGGGTATATGGATGTTTGTTATATTTGCTGTAATTTTCTATATAAAAGATTTCATAATTATTTGTTTTTAATACTGCAAATATGTTCTCATGTTATCAGATATTCTGAAATAGCAAATTTTAAAGACTTATTTTTACTATTATAAATATTACTATAATAAACATCCTTGCCTTAAATACTTACTGTATCTGTAATTTCTTTTTTTATTATTATACTTTAAGTTCTAGGGTACATGTGCACAACATGCAGGTTTGTTACACAGGTATACATGTGCCATGTTGGTTTGCTGCACCCATCAACTCGTCATTTACATTAGGTATTTCTCCTAATGTTATCCCTCCCCCAGCCCCCTACCCCACAACAGACCCCAGTGTGTGATGTTCCCTGCCCTGTGTCCAAGTGTTCCCATTGTTCAGTTCCCACCTATGAGTGAAAACATGCAGTGTTTGGCTTTCTGTCCTTGGGACAGTTTGCTGAGAATAATGGTTTCCAGCTTCATCCGTGTCTCTGCAAAGGACATGAACTCATCATTTTTTATGGCGGCATAGTATTCCATGGTGTATATGTGCCACATTTTCTTAATCCAGCCTATCATTGATGGACATTTGGGTTGATTCCAAGTCTTTGCTATTGTGAATAGTGCCACAATAAACATATGCATGTGTCTTTATAGTAGCATGATTTATAATTCTTTGGGTATATACCCAGTAGCGGAATCGCTGGGTCAAATGGTATTTCTAGTTCTAGATCCTTGAGGAATTGCCACACTGTCTCCCACAATGGTTGAACTAATTTATACTCCCAACAGTGTAAAAGCATTCCTATTTCTCCACATCCTCTCCAGCATCTGTTGTTTCCTGACTTTTTTTTTTTTTTTTGAGTTGGAGTCTCACTCCGTCACCCAGGCTGAAGTGCAGTGGTGCAATCTTGGCCCACTGCAAGCTCCACCTCCCAGGTTCACACCATTCTCCTGCCTCAGCCTCCCAAGTAGCTGGGATTACAGGTGCCTGCCACCACGCCTAGCCAATTTTTTTGTTTTTTTAGTAGAGACGGGGTTTCACCATGTTAGCCAGGATGGTCTCGATCTCCTGACCTCGTGATCTGCCCATGTCAGCCTCCCAAAGTGCTGGGATTACAGGCATAAGCCACCACGCCCGGCCTTCCTGACTTTTTAATGACTGCCATTCTAACTGGTGTGAAATGGTATCTCATTGTGGTTTTGATTTGCATTTCTCTGATGACCAGAGATGATGAGCATTTTTTGATGTGTCTGTTGGCTGCATAAATGTCTTCTTTTGAGAAGTGTCTGTTCATATTCCTTGCCCACTTCTTGATAGGGTTGTTTGTTTTTTTCTTGTAAATTTGAGTTCTTTGTAGATTCTGGATATTAGCCCTTTGTCAGATGGGTAGATTGCAAAACTTTTCTCCCATTCTGTAGGTTGCCTGTTCACTCCAATGGTACTTTCTTTTGCCGTGCAGAAGCTCTTTAGTTTAATTAGATCCCATTTGTCTATTTTGGCTTTTGTTGCCATTGCTTTTGGTGTTTTAGTCATGAAGTCCTTGCCCATGCCTATGTCCTGAATGGTATTGCCTAGGCTTTCTTCTAGGGTTGTTATGGTTTTAGGTCTAAGATTTAAGTCTTCAGTCCATCTTGAATTAATTTTTGTATAAGGTGTAAGGAAGGCTTTCAATTTCAGCTTTCTACATATGGCTAGCCGGTTTCCCCAGCAACATTTATTAAATAGGGAATAGTTTCCCCATTTCTTGTTTTTGTCAGGTTTGTCAAAGATCAGATGGTTGTAGATGTGTGGTGTTATTTCTGAGGTCTCTGTTCTGTTTCATTGGTCTATATATCTGTTGTACCAGTACCATGCTGTTTTGGTTACTGTAGCCTTGTAGTATAGTTTGAAGTTGGGTAGCGTGATGCCTCCAGCTTTGTTCTTTTTGCTTAGGATTGTCTTTGCAATACAGGTTCTTTTTTTGGTTCCATATGAACTTTAAAGTAGTTTTTTCCAATTCTGTGAAGAAAGTCAGTGGTAGATTGATGGGGATAGCATTGGATCTATAAATTACCTTGGGCAGTATGGCCATTTTCACGATATTGATTCTTCCTACCTGTGAGCATGGAATGTTCTTCCATTTGTTTGTGTCCTCTTTTATTTCGTTGAGAAGTGGTTTGTAGTTCTCCTTGAAAAGGTCCTTCACAACCCTTGTAAGTTGGATGCCTAGGTATTTTATTCTCTTTGTAGCAATTGTGAATGGGAGTTCACTCGTGATTTGGCTCTCTGTCTGTTATTGGTGTATAGGAATGCTTGTGATTTTTGCACATTGATTTTGTATCCTGAGACTTTACTGAAGTTGCTTATCAGCTTAAGGAGATTTAGGGCTGAGATGATGGGGTTTTCTAAATATACAATCATGTCATCTGCAAACAGGGACAATTTGACTTCCTCTTTTCCTAATTGAATACCCTTTATTTCTTTCTCTTGCCTGATTGCCCTGGCCAGAACTTCCAACACTATGTTGACTAGGAGTGGTGAGAGGTCATCCTTGTCTTGTGCTGGTTTTCAAAGGGAATGCTTCCAGTTCTTGCCCATTCAGTATGATATTGGCTGTGGGTATGTCATAAATAGCTCTTATTATTTTGAGATACGTTCCATCAATACCTAATTTCTTGAGAGTTTTTAGCATGAAGGGTTGTTGAATTTTGTCAAAGGCCTTTTCTTTTTTATTATTATTATACTTTAAGTTCTAGGGTACTTGTGCACAACATGCAGGTTTGTTACATCTGTATACCTGTGCCTCTGCATCTATTGAGATAATCATGTGGTTTTAGTCATTGGTTCTGTTTATGTGATGGATTACATTCATTGATTTGCATATGTTGAACCAGCCTTGGTTGGATGAAGCCAACTTGATCATGGTGGATAAGCTTTTTGATGTGCTGCTGGATTCGGTTTGCCAGCATTTTTTGAGGATTTTCGCATTGACGTTCATCAGGGATATTGGTCTAAAATTCTCTTTTTTCTGCCAGGCTTTGGTATCAGGATGATGATGAGCTCATAAAATAAGTTAGGGAGGATTTTCTCTTTTTCTATTGATTGGAATAGTTTCAGAAGGAATGGTACCAGCTCCTCTTTGTACCTCTGGTAGAATTTGGCTGTGAATCCGTCTGGTCCTGGACTTTTTTTTGTTGGTAGGCTATTAATTATTGCCTCAATTTCAGAGCCTGTTATTGGTCTATTTAGAGATTCAACTTCTTCCTGGTTTAGTCTTGGGAGGGTGTATGTGTCCAGGAATTTATCCATTTCTTCTAGAGTTTCTAGTTTATTTGCGTACAGGTGTTTATAGTATTCTCTGATGGTAGTTTGTAATTCTGTGGGATCGGTGATGATATCCCCTTTATCATTTTTTATTGCTTCTATTTGATTCTTCTCTCTTTTCTTCTTTATTAGTCTTGCTAGCAGTCTATCAATTTTGTTGATCATTTCAAAACACCAGCTCCTGGATTCATTGATTTTTTGAAGGTTTTTTTGTGTCTCTATCTCCTTCAGTTCTGCTCTGATCTTAGTTATTTCTTGCATTCTGCTAGCTTTTGAATTTGTTTGTTTTTGCTTCTCTAGTTCTTTTAATTGTGATGTTAGTGTGTGAATTTTAGATCTTTCCTGCTTTCTCTTGTGGGCATTTAGTGTTATAAATTTCTCTCTACACACTGCTTTAAATGTATCCCAGAGATTCTGATATGTTGTGTCTTTGTTCTCACTGGTTTCAAAGAACATCTTTATTTCTGCCTTCTTTTCGTTATGTACCCAGTAGTCATTCAGGAGCAGGTTGTTCAATTTCCATGTAGTTGTGTGGTTTTGAGTGAGTTTCTTAATCCTGAGTTCTAATTTGATTGCACTGTGGTCTGAGAGACAGTTTGTTGTGATTTCTGTTCTTTTACATTTGCTAAGGGATGTTTTACTTCCAATTATGTGGTCAATTTTAGAATAAGTGCGATGTGGTGCTGAGAAGAATGTATATTCTGTTGATTTGGGGTGGAGAGTTTTGTAGATGTCTATTAGGTCTGCTTGGTGCAGAGCTGAGTTCAAGTCCTGGATATCCTTGTTAACCTTCTGTCTCGTTGATCTGTCTAATATGGACAGTGGGGTGTTAAAGTCTCCCATTATTATTGTTTGGGAGTCTAAGTCTCTTTGTACGTCTCTAAGAACTTGCTTTATGAATCTGGGTGCTCCTGTATTGGGTACATATATATTTAAGATAGTTAGCTCTTCTTGTTGAATTGATCCCTTTACCATTATGTAATGGCCTTCTTTGTCTCTTTTGATCTTTGTTGGTTTAAAGTCTGTTTTATCAGAGACTAGGATTGCAACCCCTGCTTTTTTTGGCTTTCCATTTGCTTGGTAGATCTTCCTCCATCCCTTTATTTTGAGCCTATGTGTGTCTCTGCACATGAGTTGGGTCTCCTGAGTACAGCACACTGATGGGTCTTGACTTTTTATCCAATTTGCCAGTCTGTGTCTGGGGCATTTAGCCCATATACATTTAAGATTAATATTGTTATGTGTGAATTCGATCTTGTCATTATGATATTAGCTGGTTATTTTGCCGATGAATTGATGCAGTTTCTTTATAGCATAGACGGTCTTTACAATTTGGCATGTTTTTGCAGTGGCTGGTACTGGTTGTTCCTTTCCATGTTTAGTGCTTCCTTCAGGAGCTCTTGTAAGGCAGGCCTGGTGGTGACACAATCTCTCAGCATTTTCTTGTCTGTAAAGGATTTTATTTCTCCTTCACTTATGAAGATTAGTTTGGCAGGATATGAAATTCTGGGTTGAAAATTATTTTCTTTTCTTTAAGAATGTTGAATATTGGCCCCTACTCTCTTCTGGCTTGTAGGGTTTCTGCCAAGAGATGTGCTGTTAGTCTGATGGGCTTCCCTTTGTGGGTAACCCGACCTTTCTCTCTCGCTGCCCTTAACATTTTTTCCTTCATTTCAACCTTGGTGAATCTGACAATTATGTGTCTTGGGGTTGTTCTTCTCAAGGAGTAACTTTGTGGCGTTCTCTGTATTTCCTGAATTTGAAAGTTGGCCTGCCTTGCTGGGTTGGGGAAGTCCTCCTGGATAATAACCTGAAGAGTGTTTTCCAACTTGGTTCCATTCTCCCTGTCACTTTCAGGTACACCAATCAAATGTAGATTTGGTCTTTTCACATAGTCGCATATTTCTTGGAGGCTTTGTTCGTTTCTTTTTACTCTTTTTTCTCTAATCTTGTCTTCTCACTTTATTTCATTAATTTGATCTTCAAACACTGATATTCTTTCTTCCACTTGATCAAATTGGCTATTGAAACTTGTGCATGCATCACGTAGTTCTCGTGCCATAGTTTTCAGCTCCATCGAGTGATTTAAGGTCTTCTCTACACTGTTTATCCTAGTTAGCCATTCGTCTAACCTTTTTTCAAGGTTTTTAGCATCCTTGCGATGGGTTAGGACATGCTCCTTTAGCTCAGAGAATTTTGTTATTACTGACCTTCTGAAGCCTACTTCTGTCAACTCATCAAAGTCATTCTCTGTCCAGCTTTGTTCCATTGCTGGCGAGGAGCTGCGATCCTTTGGAGGAGAAGAGGCATTCTGGTTTTTAAAATTTTCAGCTTTTCTGCTCTGGTTTCTCCCCATCTTTGTGGTTTTATCTACCTTTGATCTTTGATGTTAGTGAGCTAGAGATGGGCTTTTGGTGTGGATGTCCTTTTTGCTGATGTTGATGCTATTCCTTTCTGTTTGTTAGTTTTCCTTCTAACAGTCAGATCCCTCAGCTGCAGGTCTGTTGGAGTTTTCTGGAGGTCCACTCCAGACCCTGTTTGCCTGGGTATCACCAGCAGAAGCTGCAGAACAGGAAGTATTGCAGAACAGCAAATATTGCTGCCTGATTCTTCCTCTGGAAGCTTCATTCCAGAGGGGCACCTGCCTGTATGAGGTGTCAGTCGGCCCCTACTGGGAGGTGTCTCCCAGTTAGGCTACACAGGGGTCAGGGACCCACTTGAGGAGGCAATCTGTCTGTTCTCAGAGCTCAAACACCATGGTGGGAGAACCACTGCTCTCTTCAGAGCTGTCAGACAGGGACGGTTAAGTCTATAAAAGTTTCTGCTGCCTTTTGTTCAGCTATGCCCTGCCCTCAGAGGTGGAGTTTATAGAGGCAGTAGGCCTTGCTGAGCTCCGCCCAGTTTGAGCGTCCCAGCCACTTTGTTTACCTACTCAAGCCTCAGCAATGACAGAAGCCCCTCCCCCCGCCAGGCTGCAGCCTTGCAGGTCGATCTCAGACTGCTGCACTAGCAGTGAGCAAGGCTCCGTGGGTGTGGGACCCGTCCAGTCAGGCACGGGAGAGAATCTCCTGGTCTGCCGGTTGCTAAGACCATGGGAAAAGTGCAGTATTTGGGTGGGAGTGTCCCATTTTTCCAGGTACAGTCCATCACAGCTTCTCTTAGCTAAGAAAGGGAAATCCCCTGACCCCTTGTGCTTCCCGGGTGAGGCAACACCCCACTCTGCTTTGGCTTGCCCTCCATGGGCTGCACCCACTGTCCGACCAGTCCCAGTGAGATGAACCAGCTACCTCAGTTAGAAATGCAGAAATCACCCGTCTTCTGTGACAATCACGCTGGGAGCTGCAGACCAGAGCTGTTCCTATTCTGTAATTTCTTAAGAGATATTTCTAGATGTGGGATTCTTAGGAGCATATTTAAAGTCTTTAATCAATAATTCCCCTACCAACACCACCAGCCCTCCTCCCCAATACTTAGAAGTCAGAATGGTTCAATGCCAATTGTCATAACACTGTTATTTATTAACCCTGGAAACCAAAACACTGTTTTCTATCTGGACTTGGGGTGGAGTCAGAGATCCACTCTCCACCAGACTCACATGCCCACTCTAGCCTGTGCCCTTCCCCAAATGCTTAGAGCTAATCTTCATACTCTGAATTCATGATGAAGGTTCTACTGGTGGGCCAGCTTAAACTAGTCTTCAAAGTGTACAAAAGGCATGTAGATAATGAGCCTCAGTCGTTAAGCAACCTCCTAAGGGAATAAGGGAGGAGATGCTGTGGTGGTTGCTCCTAACTTCAATGTGAAAGAGAACACAATCCACAACCTTGACTCAACCAACTGCAGCATTTCAGGTAGAGTTCTACTCCTTATATGGAGGTACATGGGAATTTCATGGAGTCAGGGCCCCAACTCTCTTCCATCATGTCATTTTAGTAAATTACAGGCAAGCCTGCTACTTCTCAGCAGAGGAATACTAGTTTTTCTGCCCTGAATGAGTTGAAAGGAAACTGGTGATTACAGGGAGAAGTTTCTTCCTCCACTCCCCAAATTGCTGACTCTTTATTTAAACTCCCTGAAAACTTGACACTGGGGGTTCTCTGAGCCACTTAATTCCTGTCCATGCCCCAGCTCCCTGACTCCCCACCTGTGAAAGCTATGTAATACTGAAAAGTGTTGCTCATCTGCATCTGTGTCCTGTGGGTCCATGAGACCTGTGTACATCCAGGGACCATTACAGAGACCACACCATAGGTTGAAAAGTCACTGGTAAGCTGTGCTCAGGCCTGCTCCATGATGAAACAGGGGAAGTATGGCAGGGGGAGCCAATAAGCCCTTTCAGTTGTAGACTAAGTTGGAGTGAAAGATAAGGTGAGACAGCCTCAGTGGTACAGAGTCAGGGTAGGAAGGTGGGACCCTTAGGTTCCAGCCTGGGAACAAGCCCATTCCCTCAAAGGAATGGCTGACAGCTTTCACCGTAACATGGACTTCCGTCTCCATTTTCAAAGGGCCTCCCAAGGCCATTTCCCCTACCACCACCAGAAGCAGCACTTCTCCCCCATACTTAGAAGCCAGATCTATCAGATGGCTACCTTTTCATTCCCCCTGCCTGGTGAGCCATAGAAGCCTCCTAAGGTCATCATGACTAATTCTTGTCTTCCAGGCTAGATAATAACTGAGTTACATGTCACCCAGGGGCAGAGCAGGTCATGTCTTGACTGTCCACCAGTCTCCTCCAGCACAGAAAAAGAAAGGAAATGAACCCAGGAGCCTTATGGCTGGTTGATTTTACATAAGGGCTAGATGGGCTGGATGAGCAGTGTAATGAAATCATCACTGCTCCCGAGCTGGACACAGGCATCCATTGGAATGCATCTGAGTAAACTGCTAAATCTTTCATTGTCCAAAGTCAGAGGGCTCCACGAAGGGGAATGCCAAAAGGCTGCTGTGAAGTATTACATCAACTCTTTCCTTCTGAATGTGACAGTATTTCTACATGCATAATTGACACAATGAACAGTATTGCCTTGCGGCCACACTGTGAGGCACTGCCTCCCTTATGCAGCACCATTCTTGGCTCTCCCTGCTGTCCTCATTGGCCTCAAGCCAAAGCCTAATGGGCTGAATCCCTCCCAAAACTGCCCCCAACTTGTAGAATCCTGCAGTAGCCCCCTATTGCCTGCAGTATGAAATCCAAACTCCTTAGCATGACATGGAAGACATTCCAGATCTGGCCCCAGGCTGATTCTGGCCTCCAGTACCACTGTGTGCTTCCTCTCATCCTGTGTACCCGAAACATTTGCAGATTCAGTATGTTCTTAGTATGTCCTGCACCTTGATGCTGCCAAACCTTTGCTTGTGTTCCTTGCTCAACCTAATATACTTTTTCCTCTTCCTCTATCTGTGGAAAGTCTTCTCATTCTTCTAGGCCTCAATTAAAAGGCACTTGCTCCGTAAAACACTCCTCATTCCATAATTCAGAGAGCATTAGTCTGTCCTCTGGCCCCCCATCTGCACCCCAATTCAGCTTGTTCCATTCTGTTCTGTATTTTTCATGTGTTCCTTCCTTTGGTGGTCATGTGTTGAAACATCTACTATGTGCCATCACTGTGCTCAGCACTGGGAATATATACATGGTCCCAGCTTGGAGAACCCACAGTATGGAGGCAGAGACAGATACGCAAAAAGCTGCAGTACAGGATAACGTGGATAATCCAAATTATGTCCCCTGCCAAAACCTTTCAGTGGTTTCCCACCTTACTCGGAGTGAAATCCAGTCATAACTGTTACCTGCAAGACCTCACACAGCCTGGCTCTGATCACCTCTTGGGACTCTTCTCTCATCACTCCCCTCTCTCACTCCAGTGACCTCTGACCTCCCCACTGTTCCTCTCACACCCTGCATGGTTTTCCCGAGGGCATTTGCACTGCTGGTCCTTCTGCCTGGAAAGCTCCTCCCTGAGGTGTTTGCATGGCTGGTCCCCTCACTTCCCTCCAGTCTTTTGTCAAATGTCACCTTCTCAATAAGGCCTCTACTGGCCACCTATCTCCCTCACAGTTTATGTCCACCTTCCTCAGCACTTATTCCACTGTAAGCACTGTGTATTTTACTCATTTATTGTTCATGGTTTGCTCCTCTGATAGATTGCAAGCTCCGTGTCAGAAGGCATCTTTATCTGTCTTGTTCCAATGAACGACCTGGAACAGCATCTGGCACATAATAGGTGCTCATTAAAGATCTGCCAAATAAATAAATCACAGAATGAGTGCACGCTATGGGAGACAGGAGCAATGGCAAAGGAAGGAACAACTCTGGTAAATCCCCCCAAAATCCACTCCCTAGAGCCCAGATAGTTCACATAAGTGAGAAATGCAAATCCAGAGAATGGCCTGTATCACTGGCTTCTCCTGCTGGTATAATCAGCAAAATACTAAATGGCTACATGGCCTGATCCACAGCTACTCATTCAGCCCCAAATATGAATGAAATATCTACTATGTGCCAAGGGGTACTAGGATCTGGGGGCTCAGTGGTGAACAAGACCAGCTGTTCCCTGCCCTTATGGAGTTTATAATCTAATTAAAAACAAACTGAATGAACAACACAAATTGTAACAAGTGCTAGAACTCCTGCCCAAGTCATATCCTCCTGGGACTAAGTGGGAATTTTGCTTAGTGGGTAGAAATGTGGGCTCAGAATCAACTGCCTGATTCAGTTCTAGTTCCACTATTTATTAACTGTGTGACATTGAGTAAGTAACTTATCTTCTCTGAGCTTCAGTTTCTTCTTTTGCAATATAGGAATCTTAATGAAACCATCTTTAAAAAAATGTAACATGGAGAGAAATCTAACCTAACTGACTCTGCCTTGCTTCTAACCTCACAAGACTTTGTTAACTTTGAAACAGTTCCTCCAGAAATTAACCCCCTCCTTGCTAGGGCACCAAAACCTCTTCTGTCAGACTCATGAAAGGCACAAAATTAGGATTATGGGGCGGGGGAGGTGGGGGCGGGGTTGAATCCTGCTAAAATATAGGCATAGTTAAACAATAATCAGCCATTGTTCCAGAGGTTACAAGATTTGTTACTTCTTCAGTTGTTCATATAGATAACATCACTATTGTCAAAACCTAAGATTGGTCTTTGAGATATTTTTCAGACATTTGTATTCTGGTGACCAGTTGACTTCACCTGGACCCATGACTCAAAGAAAGAAATGACTCCCACCCAGAAACTGACTCAGTGTGCAAAGACACTTTGGACATGCCTGTCATTTCATCCCAATTAATCAGCAGGACCTATTACCTAGCCCCATGCCTGCCAAATTATCCTTAAAAACTCTAGCCTCCAAGCTTTTGGGGAGGTGAATTTGAGAACTGTATCCCATCCTGCTTGGCTGGCCAAACGATAAACCCTTCCTCTGCAACACCACTGTCTCAGTATATCAGCATTTTTTTTTTCTGAGGCAGGGTCTCACTCTGTCACCCAGGCTGGAGTGCAGTGGCACGATCTCGGCTCACTGCAACCTCCACCTCCTGGGTTCAAGCGATCCTCGTGCCTCAGTCTCCTAAGGAGCTGGGATTACAGGCATGCGCCACCATGCCCAGCTAGTTTTTGTATTTTTAGCAGAGATGTGGTTTTGCCGTGTTGTTCAGGATGGTCTCGAACTCCTGACCTCAGGCAATCCACCTCCCTCCACCTCCCAAAGTGCTAGGATTACAGGTGAAAGCCACTGCGCCCGGCCTATATCAGCTTTTCTGTGTAGCAGTCAAGAAGTACTAGTTGGGCGGTTACATTCCTAGTACCTAATTATTGGGATACTGTGAGGATCAAATAGATAATCCATAAAGAGACTGAAACAGTAAAATATCATCCAGTTGTCACTGATGTTAGGAGAAGAAGGGCTCAACTGGGAGATCGAGCGTCACCCAAAGCTATGCTGTATGAAGTCATTACATCAGCTCACTGATAGGTAAGCACATGCTTTCTGACTAGCATGAATTGTGTCAACGGTTAGTGGCAGAAACAGAAAAAAGCAGCCAGAACTTTTCACTGTGTTGGTCTAATCGACATAGTTACTCCCTCCTTCCAGCTTGTGATGTGATTATTCTCTTGCTCAGAATAAGATTTGGCTTACTTTAGATCCCATAACTAAGTGTCCATTATGCTGTGTACTGAGCAGCAAATAGGAAGATCACAGGGCCTCCTGTAGCTGGAGCTTCCATTAGTGCCCTAGGGCAATTGTGTGCTGGTTTCTCAGTGTCCTCACCACTTCTGGCCCCCTCCGCCATGCCCACAAACACAAGTGACTCTGGACACTGGGAAGCCATGGAGGAGGCTCAAGCTCTTTGAACTGACCAGTTTTCAGTTTTTAATGACCACCACCAGTTGCAGCCACCCCAGCTGCACCAATTAGTCCTGAGACTCTAACAGGGTATATTCCCGGGTCCCTTCCAGAATCCCCTTGACACACATCACAGCCCTGTTCTGCATTTCCTTTGCTTCCCCTACTTTTCTTGCCTTTCCTTTAGAGCTCCCACCTTCCCCAGAAAACTCTCAAGTGGCCACATAATTTCAAAGCACCCTTGCTTTTTCTGTGTCCCCAGAGCAGTAGATGACTGTTACTCTAGTACTGAGCACAATGGATCATGGTGCCAGATTATATTCCCCTCTCCACTTAAACAGTGACCTCCTTGAAGGCTAATAATGTGTTTCTTTTTCTAAATTCCTTTTTTTTCTTTCTTTCTTGCTTTTCTTTTCCTTTCTTTCTTCTTTCTTTTCCTTTCTTCCTTTCTTTCTTTCTTTCCTTCTCTCTTTCTCGCTTTCTCTCATTTCTTTTCCTTTGTTTTAATAGAGACAGGGTCTCACTTTGTTGTCCAGGCTGGTTTTGAACTCCTGGCTTCAAGGTACTGGGATTACAGGCATGAGCCACTGTGCCTGGCCAACACTGTTTCTTTTTGCTTCATACCTCCTGTGCCTAGCATGGGATCTGGCACACAGAGGGAGGATAATAAATGTTGGTTAAGAATGAACAGGGAAGGAAGAAAAGAATGAGCAAATGCCTTCCAAAAAACAAGACAGAGAAGGGAAGGGTGGGAAAGGACAGTGCAGGATCAAGGGCTGGGCAAGTGCTTGACCCCAGCAAAGGCTACACAAGAGCATATCCTTAGGGATTTTGCAGCATAATAAGCATGGAATCTATAGTTCCAGCCCCAGGTCTGTCAGTTACCAACTATGACCCCGGACATTTCACTTACCAGTCTGGGGCTCCATTTCTTCATTGACAAAGGAAGAGAGTTGGGCTCTGTGATCTCTTTCTTTGAAACAAATAGAAAAATATATTCCCCACTCCCATCTGCAGGTTTCCTCAAGTCCCCTGATATGTTTGGCTCTATCCCCACCCAAATTGTATCTTGAATTTCCATGTGTTGTGGGAGGGACCTGGTGAGAGGTAATTGAATCATGGGGGCAGGTTTTCCCATGCTGTTCTCATGAGAGTGAGTAAGTGCCATAAGATCTGATGGTTTTAAAAGTGGGAGCTTCCCTGCCCAAACTCTCTCTTTGCCTGCTGCCATCCATGTAAGACATGACTTGCTCCTTTTTGCCCTCTGCTGTGATTGTGAGACCTTCCCAGCCATATGGAACTATAAATCCATTAACCCTCTTTTTCTTCCCAGTCTCAGGTATGTCTTTATCAGTAGCGTGAAAACAAACTAATACATCCCCCTTTATGAAAGAACCCAGAAAGTGTTCTGGTCACTGCAATGCTCTCTATGGATTTATCTAGTGTGGTCTTTCTCACACGCGAATGGCTGATTCCAGAATGTAATTGCATCACTCACAGTGTGGTGCTGGCAAGCAGTTGAGGTCTTGGGCACCATGGGGTCAAATCAGAGTAGAGCTCCATAATCTAGGGTCCACTGTACAAAAGCATAATTTATTCACCACATTTCAGGTAGTATAGTCAGAGAAGGGTGAATTGAGAGGCATCAGGCATCAGCACACACACACACACACACACAAAGTGCTTAGGGAATAAGAAGGAAGAGACCTGAGAGGGGAGATAAATGGTCTTATATGATCTTAAATATCACTTTTTTCTTGTCTTGCCTGAAGTAAGACGGATGAGAAATGCTACCCCCAGCTAGTATAGGGTAGTAAGCAGTAAAAGTGCAGGGTTTAGAGACAGCCAGATGTGAGTTGAAATCTCAGCTCTGCCCCTTAC